>NT_167218.1:0-179693 GCF_000001405.40 Homo sapiens
GAATTCTGTTGATGATGGATGTGAGAGTGGTGAAGCCCTGCGGGATGATGTAGAGGACTTCCACATCCCTGGTGAGGAGCTGCCCCTTGGGTCTGAGTTTCTGGGAGGGGAGAGGGAGAAGCTGGGTGAGGCAGGCATGAATCTTGAGGAGTCAGGGCTGGGGGACCGCTCATATTCTCCCGAGACCTGTGAGTCTCTGGGGGACTCCTGGGTGCATGGGGCTGACTCCCGCAGGAACCTGGGGATGGCTGGAGAGTAACTGGGAGCCACAGGAGGGTCCCTGAGGCCTGGGGGTGAAGAGATGCAAGACACAGGGGTGGAGCAGCGTGAGGCTCGTGAGTTTGTAGGTGATTCCTGGGTGTGGGGGTCTGACTCCAGCTGAAATCTGGGGTTGTTTGGAGAGTAGCTGGGAGACACAGGAGAACCCCCGAGAGCTGGGGGTGAGCTGCTGGGTGATGGCAGTAAGAACATGTGGTATATTATTGATGAACGTGGGGACTCTGAGGAGTCCTCAGAGGAGGACACGGCAGAGCCCAATGGCTTCATTGATTGCCCATCACGGTGAGGACAGGGAAATGGGAGCTTGTGGGATTCTGGTGATGACAGAGGTGAGTGTGGTGAAGCCCTAGGGGATGGTGAATGGTAGTTCCGGATCCCTGGTGAGGAGCTTCCCCTTAAGCCTGAGTTTCTGAGAGGGGAGAGGGAGAAGCTGGGTGAGGCTCGCATGGACCTTGGGGTGTCCGTGCTGGGGGACCGTTCATAAGAAGAGCCAGACAAGACCCTACTGTTCTTAGGTGCAGACATGATTAGGAAACCTGCAGCTCCCAGGGGCCCCCACTAATGTTCTAACTCGCAGAAGGAAGGAGTGTGTGTGCGTGTGTGCGTGTGCGTGTGTGTGTGTGTGTGTGTTTGTGTGTGTGCGGTGTGAGGTATGGGCCCCTTAAGGAAATGGAAATCAACCAACCAATGGGACAGACAGACAGACAGACAGACAGAGATTCACTTGCCCAAGTGTTCTGTCCTGTCCTCTGAATCCGCTTTCAAGTCGCAAGACGCTGTGAGCTCCAAGTCCACGCAGAGTCCGCCAAACGCTCCGGCCGCTGATCCGCTCCGCGAAGATCTGAGTACAGGCCAGCCAGGGTGGGTTTAAATAGCCTCGGGCGCAGCCTAGCAGCGGAAAGGGCGGAGCTTCACTCCTCCTTTCCATCAGTCACCCCCAACTTTCCCAGGCTACACCTCGTAGGAAACTGTTCTCCTGCTTTGATTTCATGCGCCACCTTTGGGACAATCTAAGAACTTACAGGTTTTCTTGGCCAGATTTATTAGGAATTGTATGCACTGAAACACTGAAAACCAACTAGTGGTTCTGTGCTTCCCACGTTGTGGTTTTGACACCAGCAGCATCCTTGCCACAATCAAACCCCGGAGATCCGCAGATCTGTGTTGTAACAAGACCTCCCCCTGACCCTGAAGCATGGCAGTTGAAGAAGTCTTTCCGTGTAAGCGAAAAGACTTTGAAGAAAAGGTGGAGATATGCGTTGTATAAACATTCTTTGGCTCTGGAACCACGTAGAGACTTGGGAGCCAGTTGGGTGGAGCATTCGTTGGATGAGGGTGCTCGGGTTAGGAATATCAAGGTGTTTCTCCAGATAATCCAATCATCTAATTAAGATTCCAGTTATGCTCATCTGTTTTAAAATTCCGTTTGGGTAAATTCTTTTAGTCAGACTGAGAATGGCAAAGCCTCAACCCCAATTTCCAGGGAGGGTGGAGAGCCTCAGGTGGAGTTGATCACCAATAGCCTATGGTTTAACCCATCATGCCTATAGAATGAGGTCTCCATCAAAACCCAAAAGGACTGGGTTCAGAGAGCTTCTGGATAACACTTCCTGGAAGGTAGTGCACCCCTCCCCGCATGCCGGGCCCCACATTTATTTCTGAACCTTGTGCAATGTCCGCTAAAATACAACGGCAAATGTAAGTGTTTCCCTGCGTGCTGTGAGCTCTTCCAGCAAATGAATGCAACTAAATCTGGGAGTGGTGGCAACCTGATTTATAGCCAGTTGCTGAGAAGCACAGGTAAAACAACGTAGGGCTTCCCATTGTTATTGGTGTGGGAGGCCTGTCTGGCGGGACTCGACCCTTTGGAATCTAATGCTATGTCCCGGTAGATAGCGTCACCATTGAATTAGAAGACACACATATGTGGAGAATAATCTTTCTGGTCATTTACTGCATGTCATATTTACAATATGTAATCAAATTCTTTATCCTGACCTTATGGCACCTGGGTTTAGGACCATGATTTGAACCAAACGTTGGTCTGTCACTTTCTGAGTTTGAAACTTTATTTTGCCTTTAGCGTTTTGCTATTGCTTTTTCGTTTTCTTTTGTTTCGTTTCGTTTCTAAGTTCTGGGGTATATGTGCAGGATGTGCAGATTTGTTACTAAGGTAAACGTGTGCCATGGTGGTTTGCTGCACCTGTCAACCCGTCACCTAGGTATTAAGCCCAGCATGCAGTAGCTGTTTTTCTTAACGCTCTGCCTCCCGAAAGGCCCCAGTGTGTGTTGTTCCCCTTCCTGTGTCCATGGGATCTCACTTTTCAGCTCCCATTATAAGTGAGAAGGTGGCGTTTGGTTTTCTTTCCCTGGATTAGTTTGCTGACGATAATGACCACACATCACCACTGTTTTTGTTTTTTAGTATAAAGAGTAGTATTTTATTGAATAAGATTTGCTCACAGAAAAATAAGCTTAAATCTACAATGAATGCCAGACCCTACAGCAGAAAGCAATTTTCTCACTTTTCCACACACAATGGTTCCTACTAAGTGAAAAAAAAGCCATAAAATTTCATTCACAAATGTACTACTCTGTCTCAAAACATCTCACGTAATCATGCACTGTACTAAAGCCATCAGATCAGTTCTTCAGTCAGGTTAAAGAAGTATCCCTCTAATAACTGACTTTTATAATGCTATCAATATCCACTCCCAATCAGTCTGCCATTGTTAATGGTGTACAGCATTACTGAATACAACGGAATTGATGACGCCCATATCCACAGACAAACCGTGACTTATGATGGTTTGACTTATGATTTTTCAACGTTATGATGGGTTTATTGGAATATTAGATTCGTTTCTGAGTTACACTGGGTTTATGAGTATGCGACCCTACACTCCAGAAACAGCTGTATAAGGAAAAACAGGAGTACCTAATAAAAATATGCTTAGTGACTTGGGATAAAGCAATAGATGTTCACAAGTGATGGAGAGCCGTGAAAGAGAGATAGCGGTAAATAGTTACAATAACACAATTTTCCTGCACCTGTCGAGGATTTCCCCCAAAAAACGCAGAATGTGGGATGCACCTAAGGCATATGAAAGAGAGAGGGCAGAAGGAGTAAGAGAGAAATAGGAGGAAGGAAGGAAGGAAGCAAGGAAGACAGGAAGGAAGGAAAGAAGGAAGGTAGGACGGAAGGAAGGAAGGAAGGAAGGAAAGAAGGATGAAAGGAAGGAGAAAACACCGGTGTTACTAAAACCCCCCAAAAAATGGTTTCCCCCTGTGGGTAAGCCTACAATGTGGATGAATCTTGAAAATATTGTGCTACGTGTTATGTCAGTCATAGCAGCTCACCTATTGTGCAATTCCGTTTATAGGAAATGTCCACAATATGGAAATCTATGCATATGGGATTGATCGCACTAGGTAGTTGCTACCTAGGGCTGAGGGTCAGGGAGAGGGTTTGAGACAGAATGAGGAGTGACTAATGTCTACAGGGTCTTTCTCTGGTCGGGGGTGATAAGACGTTTTACAATGGATTGCGAATTAAAATTGAATGTGCACAACCACAGGTATACTAAAAGCCACTCAATTCATGACCTTTAATGGGGGAATCTTACGTGGCGTAGTCTCATGGAGACCACGGCAGACATAGTGAGAGAGAAAAAGGTGAGTAAATATCTGAAACGGAGGCAGAAACAGAGAGAATGAAAAGCCCTGTGAATGGAAGGGAGAGCGAAAAGGGAAAATGGTCCTATTTACAAATGACAGATGTGAAACTGGGGTTCACATCAACAGTGTCACTGCCAGGAAGGAGGGTCATGCTAGCCATGTCACCGGTAGTGTGGCCCGCAGGGACGCCGACCTGCTGGAGCGTCGTGCCAGCATGGGCTGTGGCAACCACGTGGGCCAGCAGGAGGTTCCCGCTGCACAGCTGTGGGGTGAGGATAGACTGGGTGGTGATATCGGCCATTACAGGGGCCTCTTCTGCTGGCAAGAGTGTGACAGTAGCAAGTAGATGGACAGGCCTGCGTGTGAGGACGGAATGCAGGAGGGGTTCTTGTGCGCCTGGGTGTGGGGCCCTCACGGGAACCGTGGAGAAATGGCCAGGTAACTGCGTCATGTGGGCTAGTAGATTGGCCAGGGCTTCGAACTGAAGGACGATAATGGGGAGTAGCTGTCAGGCCCTGGGAGTGCCTGAGTGTAAGTGGAGATGGGTTTGGGGTCACTGAGGGATGCGTGGGAGCCATCCCTGTATAGGTACAGGTCATAGGGAGATAGTCTCGTGAGGCCTGTGAGTGTCTAGGGTTGTCCTGGGTGCCTGGGGCTGACTGTGGCAGAAATCTGGGGAAGGCTGGAGAGAAGCTGGGAGACCCAGGAGAGTCCCTGAAGGCAGGGGGTGAAGAGGTGAAAGAAATGGGGGAGGGTTGCAGTAAGGTCCGTGAGTTTGTAGGTGATTCCTGGGTGCGGGAAGCTGACTCCAGGTGAAATCTGGAGATGGTTGGAGAGTAGCTGAGAGAGACAGAAGAGTCCCTGAGGGCTGGGGGTGAGAACATGAGGGAGACGGGGGAGTAAGTCAGTGAAATTCGTGAGTTCGGTGGTGTATCGTGGGTGCCTGGAACTGACTCCAGCTGGAATCTAGAGAAGTTTTGAGAGTAGCTGAAGGAGACACAAGAGTCCCTGTGGGCTGAGGGCAAAGACCTGAGACAGACCAGGGAGGACCTCAGTGAAGTCTGTGAGTCTGTAGGTGATTCCGGAGTGTGGGAGGCTGACTCCCGCTGAAATCTGGGCGTGGTGGGAGAGTAGCTGGGACAGACAGGAGAGTCCCAGGGGGCTCGGGGTGACGACGTGAGAGAGACTGGGGAGTAACTCAGTGAAATTGCTGAGTTGGTTGGTGATACCTGGGTGCCTGGAACTGACCCCCGCTGAAATCTGGGCATGGTTGGAGAGTAGCTGGGACACACAGGAGAGTCCCTGAGGGCTGGGGGTGAAGACATGAGCGAGACCGGGGAGTAACTGAGTGAAACTGGTGAGTTTGGTGGTGACTCCGGGGTGCCTGGAACTGACTCCAGCTGAAATGTGGGCGTGGTTGGAGAGTAGCTGGGACAGACAGGAGAGTCCCTGAGGACTGGTGAAGACATGAGAGAGACTGGAGAGTAATTGAGTGAAATTGGTGAGTTTGGTGGTGATTCCTGGGTGCCTGGAACTGACTCCCGCTGAAGTGTGGGCGTGGTTGGAGAGTAGCTGGGACACACAGGAGAGTCCCTGAGGGTTGGAGATAAAGACGTGCTAGAGACTGAGGAGTAACTGAGTGAAATTGGTGAGTTTGGTGGTGATTCCGGGGTGCCTGGAACGGACTCCAGCTGAAATGTGGGCGTGGTTGGAGAGTAGCTGGGACAGACGGGAGAGTCCCTGAGGGATGGTGAAGACATGAGAGAGACTGGGGAGTAACGCAGTGAAATTGGTGAGTTTGGTGGTGATTTCTGGGTGCCTGCAACGGACTCCCGCTGAAGTGTGGGCGTGCTTGGAGAGTAGCTGGGACAGACAGGCGAGTCCCTGAGGGTTGGAGATAAAGACGTGCTGGAGACTGGGGAGTAACTCAGTGAAAGTGGTGGGCTTGGTGGTGATCCCAGGGTTCCTGGAACTGACCCGCGCTGAAATGTGGGCGTGGTTGGAGAGTAGCTGGGACAGACTGGAGGGTCCGTAAGGGCTGGGGGTGAAGACGTGAGAGAGACTGGCGAGGATCTCACTGAGGTCTGTGAGTTTGTAGGTGTTTCTGGGGTGTGGGGTACAGACTCCCGCTGAAATCTGGGCGTAGTTGGAGAGTAGCTGGGACAGACAGGAGAGTCATGGGTGGCTGGGGGTGAGCTGCTGGATGATGGCAGTAAGAACATATGGTACATTATTGATGAATGAGGTGACTGTGAAAAATCTCCAGAGGAGGACACGGGAGAACACAATGACATGAGTGACTGTCCTGCTTGGTTAGGAAAGGGAAACGTAAAGTTGTGGAATTCTGTTGATGATGGATGTGAGAGTGGTGAAGCCCTGCGGGATGATGTAGAGGACTTCCACATCCCTGGTGAGGAGCTGCCCCTTGGGTCTGAGTTTCTGGGAGGGGAGAGGGAGAAGCTGGGTGAGGCAGGCATGAATCTTGAGGAGTCAGGGCTGGGGGACCGCTCATATTCTCCCGAGACCTGTGAGTCTCTGGGGGACTCCTGGGTGCATGGGGCTGACTCCCGCAGGAACCTGGGGATGGCTGGAGAGTAACTGGGAGCCACAGGAGGGTCCCTGAGGCCTGGGGGTGAAGAGATGCAAGACACAGGGGTGGAGCAGCGTGAGGCTCGTGAGTTTGTAGGTGATTCCTGGGTGTGGGGGGCTGACTCCAGCTGAAATCTGGGGTTGTTTGGAGAGTAGCTGGGAGACACAGGAGAACCCCCGAGAGCTGGGGGTGAGCTGCTGGGTGATGGCAGTAAGAACATGTGGTATATTATTGATGAACGTGGGGACTCTGAGGAGTCCTCAGAGGAGGACACGGCAGAGCCCAATGGCTTCATTGATTGCCCATCACGGTGAGGACAGGGAAATGGGAGCTTGTGGGATTCTGGTGATGACAGAGGTGAGTGTGGTGAAGCCCTAGGGGATGGTGAATGGTAGTTCCGGATCCCTGGTGAGGAGCTTCCCCTTAAGCCGGAGTTTCTGAGAGGGGAGAGGGAGAAGCTGGGTGAGGCTCGCATGGACCTTGGGGTGTCCGTGCTGGGGGACCGTTCATAAGAAGAGCCAGACAAGACCCTACTGTTCTTAGGTGCAGACATGATTAGGAAACCTGCAGCTCCCAGGGGCCCCCACTAATGTTCTAACTCGCAGAAGGAAGGAGTGTGTGTGCGTGTGTGCGTGTGCGTGTGTGTGTGTGTGTGTGTTTGTGTGTGTGCGGTGTGAGGTATGGGCCCCTTAAGGAAATGGAAATCAACCAACCAATGGGACAGACAGACAGACAGACAGACAGAGATTCACTTGCCCAAGTGTTCTGTCCTGTCCTCTGAATCCGCTTTCAAGTCGCAAGACGCTGTGAGCTCCAAGTCCACGCAGAGTCCGCCAAACGCTCCGGCCGCTGATCCGCTCCGCGAAGATCTGAGTACAGGCCAGCCAGGGTGGGTTTAAATAGCCTCGGGCGCAGCCTAGCAGCGGAAAGGGCGGAGCTTCACTCCTCCTTTCCATCAGTCACCCCCAACTTTCCCAGGCTACACCTCGTAGGAAACTGTTCTCCTGCTTTGATTTCATGCGCCACCTTTGGGACAATCTAAGAACTTACAGGTTTTCTTGGCCAGATTTATTAGGAATTGTATGCACTGAAACACTGAAAACCAACTAGTGGTTCTGTGCTTCCCACGTTGTGGTTTTGACACCAGCAGCATCCTTGCCACAATCAAATCCCGGAGATCCGCAGATCTGTGTTGTAACAAGACCTCCCCCTGACCCTGATGCATGGCAGTTGAAGAAGTCTTTCCGTGTAAGCGAAAAGACTTTGAAGAAAAGGTGGAGATATGCGTAGTATAAACATTCTTTGGCTCTGGAACCACGTAGAGACTTGGGAGCCAGTTGGGTGGAGCATTCGTTGGATGAGGGTGCTCGGGTTAGGAATATCAAGGTGTGGCTCCAGATAATGCAATCATCTAATTAAGATTCCAGTTATGCTCATCTGTTTTAAAATTCCGTTTGGGTAAATTCTTTTAGTCAGACTGAGAATGGCAAAGCCTCAACCCCAATTTCCAGGGAGGGTGGAGAGCCTCAGGTGGAGTTGATCACCAATAGCCTATGGTTTAACCCATCATGCATATAGAATGAGGTCTCCATCAAAACCCAAAAGGACTGGGTTCAGAGAGCTTCTGGATAACACTTCCTGGAAGGTAGTGCACCCCTCCCCGCATGCCGGGCCCCACATTTATTTCTGAACTTTGTGCAATGTCCGCTAAAATACAACGGCAAATGTAAGTGTTTCCCTGCGTGCTGTGAGCTCTTCCAGCAAATGAATGCAACTAAATCTGGGAGTGGTGGCAACCTGATTTATAGCCAGTTGCTGAGAAGCACAGGTAAAACAACGTAGGGCTTCCCATTGTTATTGGTGTGGGAGGCCTGTCTGGCGGGACTCGGCCCTTTGGAATCTAATGCTATGTCCCGGTAGATAGCGTCACCATTGAATTAGAAGACACACATATGTGGAGAATAATCTTTCTGGTCATTTACTGCATGTCATATTTACAATATGTAATCAAATTCTTTATCCTGACCTTATGGCACCTGAGTTTAGGACCATGATTTGAACCAAACATTGGTCTGTCACTTTCTGAGTTTGAAACTTTATTTTGCCTTTAGCGTTTTGCTATTGCTTTTTCATTTTCTTTTGTTTCGTTTCGTTTCTAAGTTCTGGGGTATATGTGCAGGATGTGCAGATTTGTTACTAAGGTAAACGTGTGCCATGGTGGTTTGCTGCACCTGTCAACCCGTCACCTAGGTATTAAGCCCAGCATGCAGTAGCTGTTTTTCTTAACGCTCTGCCTCCCGAAAGGCCCCAGTGTGTGTTGTTCCCCTTCCTGTGTCCATGGGATCTCACTTTTCAGCTCCCATTATAAGTGAGAAGGTGGCGTTTGGTTTTCTTTCCCTGGATTAGTTTGCTGACGATAATGACCACACATCACCACTGTTTTTGTTTTTTAGTATAAAGAGTAGTATTTTATTGAATAAGATTTGCTCACAGAAAAATAAGCTTAAATCTACAATGAATGCCAGACCCTACAGCAGAAAGCAATTTTCTCACTTTTCCACACACAATGGTTCCTACTAAGTGAAAAAAAAGCCATAAAATTTCATTCACAAATGTACTACTCTGTCTCAAAACATCTCACGTAATCATGCACTGTACTAAAGCCATCAGATCAGTTCTTCAGTCAGGTTAAAGAAGTATCCCTCTAATAACTGACTTTTATAATGCTATCAATATCCACTCCCAATCAGTCTGCCATTGTTAATGGTGTACAGCATTACTGAATACAACGGAATTGATGACGCCCATATCCACAGACAAACCGTGACTTATGATGGTTTCACTTATGATTTTTCAACGTTATGATGGGTTTATTGGAATATTAGATTCGTTTCTGAGTTACACTGGGTTTATGAGTATGCGACCCTACACTCCAGAAACAGCTGTATAAGGAAAAACAGGAGTACCTAATAAAAATATGCTTAGTGACTTGGGATAAACCAATAGATGTTCACAAGTGATGGAGAGCCGTGAAAGAGAGATAGCGGTAAATAGTTACAATAACACAATTTTCCTGCACCTGTCGAGGATTTCCCCAAAAAAACGCAGAATGTGGGATGCACCTAAGGCATATGAAAGAGAGAGGGCAGAAGGAGTAAGAGAGAAATAGGAGGAAGGAAGGAAGGAAGGAAGCAAGGAAGAAAGGAAGGAAGGAAAGAAGGAAGGAAGGACGGAAGGAAGGAAGGAAGGAAGGAAGGAAGGAAGGAAGGAAGGAAGGAAGGAAAGAAGGACTAAAGGAAGGAGAGAACACCGGTGTTACTAAAACCCCCCAAAAAATGGTTTCCCCCTGTGGGTAAGCCTACAATGTGGATGAATCTTGAAAATATTGTGCTACGTGTTATGTCAGTCATAGCAGCTCACCTATTGTGCAATTCCGTTTATAGGAAATGTCCACAATATGGAAATCTATGCATATGGGATTGATCGCACTAGGTAGTTGCTACCTAGGGCTGAGGGTCAGGGAGAGGGTTTGAGACAGAAGGAGGAGTGACTAATGTCTACAGCGTTTTTCTCTGGTCGGGGGTGATAAGACGTTTTACAATGGATTGCGAATTAAAATTGAATGTGCACAACCACAGGTATACTAAAAGCCACTGAATTCATGACCTTTAATGGGGGAATGTTATGTGGCGCAGTCTCATGGAGACCACGGCAGACATAGTGAGAGAGAAAAAGGTGAGTAAATATCTGAAACGGAGGCAGAAACAGAGAGAATGAAAAGCCCTGTGAATGGAAGGGAGAGCGAAAAGGGAAAATGGTCCCATTGACAAATGACAGATGTGAAACTGGGGTTCACATCAACAGTGTCACTGCCAGGGAGGAGGGTCATGCTAGCCATGTCACCGGTAGTGTGGCCCGCAGGGACGCCGACCTGCTGGAGCGTCGTGCCAGCATGGGCTGTGGCAACCACGTGGGCCAGCAGGAGGTTCCCGCTGCACAGCTGTGGGGTGAGGATAGACTGGTTGGTGATATCGGCCATTACAGGTGCCTCTTCTGCTGGCAAGAGTGTGACAGTAGCAAGTAGATGGACAGGCCTGCGTGTGAGGACGGAATGCAGGAGGGGTTCTTGTGCGGCTGGGTGTGGGGCCCTCACGGGAACCGTGGAGAAATGGCCAGGTAACTGCGTCATGTGGGCTAGTAGATTGGCCAGGGCTTCGAACTGAAGGACGATAACGGGGAGTAGCTGTCAGACCCTGGGAGTGCCTGAGTGTAAGTGGAGATGGGTTTGGGGTCACTGAGGTATGCGTGGGAGCCATTCCTGTATAGGTACAGGTCATAGGGAGATAGTCTCGTGAGGCCTGTGAGTGTCTAGGGTTGTCCTGGGTGCCTGGGGCTGACTGTGGCAGAAATCTGGGGAAGGCTGGAGAGAAGCTGGGAGACCCAGGAGAGTCCCTGAAGGCAGGGGGTGAAGAGGTGAAAGAAATGGGGGAGGGTTGCAGTAAGGTCCGTGAGTTTGTAGGTGATTCCTGGGTGCGGGAAGCTGACTCCAGGTGAAATCTGGAGATGGTTGGAGAGTAGCTGAGAGAGACAGAAGAGTCCCTGAGGGCTGGGGGTGAGAACATGAGGGAGACGGGGGAGTAAGTCAGTGAAATTCGTGAGTTCGGTGGTGTATCGTGGGTGCCTGGAACTGACTCCAGCTGGAATCTAGAGAAGTTTTGAGAGTAGCTGAAGGAGACACAAGAGTCCCTGTGGGCTGAGGGCAAAGACCTGAGAGAGACCAGGGAGGACCTCAGTGAAGACTGTGAGTCTGTAGGTGATTCCGGAGTGTGGGAGGCTGACTCCCGCTGAAATCTGGGCGTGGTGGGAGAGTAGCTGGGACAGACAGGAGAGTCCCAGGGGGCTGGGGATGAAGACATGAGAGAGACTGGGGAGTAACTCAGTGAAATTGCTGAGTTGGTTGGTGATACCTGGGTGCCTGGAACTGACCCCCGCTGAAATCTGGGCATGGTTGGAGAGTAGCTGGGACACACAGGAGAGTCCCTGAGGGCTGGGGGTGAAGACATGAGCGAGACCGGGGAGTAACTGAGTGAAACTGGTGAGTTTGGTGGTGACTCCGGGGTGCCTGGAACTGACTCCAGCTGAAATGTGGGCGTGGTTGGAGAGTAGCTGGGACAGACAGGAGAGTCCCTGAGGACTGGTGAAGTCATGAGAGAGACTGGAGAGTAATTGAGTGAAATTGGTGAGTTTGGTGGTGATTCCTGGGTGCCTGGAACTGACTCCCGCTGAAGTGTGGGCGTGGTTGGAGAGTAGCTGGGACACACAGGAGAGTCCCTGAGGGTTGGAGATAAAGACGTGCTAGAGACTGAGGAGTAACTGAGTGAAATTGGTGAGTTTGGTGGTGATTCCGGGGTGCCTGGAACGGACTCCAGCTGAAATGTGGGCGTGGTTGGAGAGTAGCTGGGACAGACGGGAGAGTCCCTGAGGGATGGTGAAGACATGAGAGAGACTGGGGAGTAACGCAGTGAAATTGGTGAGTTTGGTGGTGATTTCTGGGTGCCTGCAACGGACTCCCGCTGAAGTGTGGGCGTGCTTGGAGAGTAGCTGGGACAGACAGGCGAGTCCCTGAGGGTTGGAGATAAAGACGTGCTGGAGACTGGGGAGTAACTCAGTGAAAGTGGTGGGCTTGGTGGTGATCCCAGGGTTCCTGGAACTGACCCGCGCTGAAATGTGGGCGTGGTTGGAGAGTAGCTGGGACAGACTGGAGGGTCCGTAAGGGCTGGGGGTGAAGACGTGAGAGAGACTGGCGAGGATCTCACTGAGGTCTGTGAGTTTGTAGGTGTTTCTGGGGTGTGGGGTACAGACTCCCGCTGAAATCTGGGCGTAGTTGGAGCGTAGCTGGGACAGACAGGAGAGTCATGGGTGGCTGGGGGTGAGCTGCTGGATGATGGCAGTAAGAACATATGGTACATTATTGATGAATGAGGTGACTGTGAAGAATCTCCAGAGGAGGACACGGGAGAACACAATGACATGAGTGACTGTCCTGCTTGGTTAGGAAAGGGAAACGTAAAGTTGTGGAATTCTGTTGATGATGGATGTGAGAGTGGTGAAGCCCTGCGGGATGATGTAGAGGACTTCCACATCCCTGGTGAGGAGCTGCCCCTTGGGTCTGAGTTTCTGGGAGGGGAGAGGGAGAAGCTGGGTGAGGCAGGCATGAATCTTGAGGAGTCAGGGCTGGGGGACCGCTCATATTCTCCCGAGACCTGTGAGTCTCTGGGGGACTCCTGGGTGCATGGGGCTGACTCCCGCAGGAACCTGGGGTTGGCTGGAGAGTAACTGGGAGCCACAGGAGGGTCCCTGAGGCCTGGGGGTGAAGAGATGCAAGACACAGGGGTGGAGCAACGTGAGGCTCGTGAGTTTGTAGGTGATTCCTGGGTGTGGGGGGCTGACTCCAGCTGAAATCTGGGGTTGTTTGGAGAGTAGCTGGGAGACACAGGAGACCCCCCGAGAGCTGGGGATGAGCTGCTGGGTGATGGCAGTAAGAACATGTGGTATATTATTGATGAACGTGGGGACTCTGAGGAGTCCTCAGAGGAGGACACGGCAGAGCCCAATGGCTTCATTGATTTCCCATCAAGGTGAGGACAGGGAAATGGGAGCTTGTGGGATTCTGGTGATGACAGAGGTGAGTGTGGTGAAGCCCTAGGGGATGGTGAATGGCAGTTTCGGATCCCTGGTGAGGAGCTTCCCCTTAAGCCTGAGTTTCTGAGAGGGGAGAGGGAGAAGCTGGGTGAGGCTCGCATGGACCTTGGGGTGTCCGTGCTGGGGGACCGTTCATAAGAAGAGCCAGACAAGACCCTACTGTTCTTAGGTGCAGACATGATTAGGAAACCTGCAGCTCCCAGGGGCCCCTACTGATGTTCTAACTCGCAGAAGGAAGGAGTGTGTGTGCGTGTGTGCGTGTGCGTGTGTGTGTGTGTGTGTGTGTTTGTGTGTGTGCGGTGTGAGCTATGTGCCCCTTAAGGAAATGGAAATCAACCAACCAATGGGACAGACAGACAGACAGACAGACAGAGATTCACTTGCCCAAGTGTTCTGTCCTGTCCTCTGAATCCGCTTTCAAGTCGCAAGACGCTGTGAGCTCCAAGTCCACGCAGAGTCCGCCAAACGCTCCGGCCGCTGATCCGCTCCGCGAAGATCTGAGTACAGGCCAGCCAGGGTGGGTTTAAATAGCCTCGGGCGCAGCCTAGCAGCGGAAAGGGCGGAGCTTCACTCCTCCTTTCCATCAGTCACCCCCAACTTTCCCAGGCTACACCTCGTAGGAAACTGTTCTCCTGCTTTGATTTCATGCGCCACCTTTGGGACAATCTAAGAACTTACAGGTTTTCTTGGCCAGATTTATTAGGAATTGTATGCACTGAAACACTGAAAACCAACTAGTGGTTCTGTGCTTCCCACGTTGTGGTTTTGACACCAGCAGCATCCTTGCCACAATCAAACCCCGGAGATCCGCAGATCTGTGTTGTAACAAGACCTCCCCCTGACCCTGATGCATGGCAGTTGAAGAAGTCTTTCCGTGTAAGCAAAAAGACTTTGAAGAAAAGGTGGAGATATGCGTTGTATAAACATTCTTTTGCTCTGGAACCACGTAGAGACTTGGGAGCCAGTTGGGTGGAGCATTCGTTGGATGAGGGTGCTCGGGTTAGGAATATCAAGGTGTTTCTCCAGATAATCCAATCATCTAATTAAGATTCCAGTTATGCTCATCTGTTTTAAAATTCCGTTTGGGTAAATTCTTTTAGTCAGACTGAGAATGGCAAAGCCTCAGCCCCAATTTCCAGGGAGGGTGGAGAGCCTCAGGTGGAGTTGATCACCAATAGCCTATGGTTTAACCCATCATGCCTATAGAATGAGGTCTCCATCAAAACCCAAAAGGACTGGGTTCAGAGAGCTTCTGGATAACACTTCCTGGAAGGTAGTGCACCCCTCCCCGCATGCCGGGCCCCACATTTATTTCTGAACTTTGTGCAATGCCCGCTAAAATACAACGGCAAATGTAAGTGTTTCCCTGCGTGCTGTGAGCTCTTCCAGCAAATGAATGCAAATAAATCTGGGAGTGGTGGCAACCTGATTCATAGCCAGTTGCTGAGAAGCACCGCTAAAACAACGTAGGGCTTCCCATTGTTATTGGTGTGGGAGGCCTGTCTGGCGGGACTCGGCCCTTTGGAATCTAATGCTATGTCCCGGTAGATAGCGTCACCATTGAATTAGAAGACACACATATGTGGAGAATAATCTTTCTGGTCATTTACTGCATGTCTTCTTTACAATATGTCATCAAATTCTTTATCCTGACCTTATGGCACCTGGGTTTGAACCAAAAGTTGGTCTGTCACTTTCTGAGTTTGAAACTTTATTTTGCCTTTAGCGTTTTGCTATTGCTTTTTCATTTTCTTTTGTTTCGTTTCGTTTCTAAGTTCTGGGGTATATGTGCAGGATGTGCAGGTTTGTTACTAAGGTAAACGTGTGCCATGGTGGTTTGCTGCACCTGTCAACCAGTCACCTAGGTATTAAGCCCAGCATGCAGTAGCTGTTTTTCTTAACGCTCTGCCTCCCGAAAGGCCCCAGTGTGTGTTGTTCCCCTTCCTGTGTCCATGGGATCTCACTTTTCAGCTCCCATTATAAGTGAGAAGGTGGCGTTTGGTTTTCTTTCCCTGGATTAGTTTGCTGACGATAATGACCACACATCACCACTGTTTTTGTTTTTTAGTATAAAGAGTAGTATTTTATTGAATAAGATTTGCTCACAGAAAAATAAGCTTAAATCTACAATGAATGCCAGACCCTACAGCAGAAAGCAATTTTCTCACTTTTCCACACACAATGGTTCCTACTAAGTGAAAAAAAAGCCATAAAATTTCATTCACAAATGTACTACTCTGTCTCAAAACATCTCACGTAATCATGCACTGTACTAAAGCCATCAGATCAGTTCTTCAGTCAGGTTAAAGAAGTATCCCTCTAATAACTGACTTTTATAATGCTATCAATATCAACTCCCAATCAGTCTGCCATTGTTAATGGTGTACGGCATTACTGAATACAACGGAATTGATGACGCCCATATCCACAGACAAACCGTGACTTATGATGGTTTGATTTATGATTTTTCAACGTTATGATGGGTTTAATGGAATATTAGATTCGTTTCTGAGTTACACTGGGTTTATGTGTATGCGACCCTATACTCCAGAAGCAGCTGTATAAGGAAAAACAGGTGTACTTAATAAAAATATGCTTAGTGACTTGGGATAAACCAATAGATGTTCACAAGTGATGGAGAGCCGTGAAAGAGAGAGAGCGGTAAATAGTTACAATAACACAATTTTTCTGCACCTGTCGAGGATTTCCCCCAAAAAACGCAGAATGTGGGATGCACCTAAGGCATATGAAAGAGAGAGGGCAGAAGGAGTAAGACAGAAACAGGAGGAAGGAAGGAAGGAAGGAAGGAAGGAAGGAAGGAAGGAAGGAAGGAAGGAAAGAAGGAAGGTAGGACGGAAAGAAGGAAGGAAGGAAGGAAGGAAGGAAGGAAAGAAGGACTAAAGGAAGGAGAGAACACCGGTGTTACTAAAACCCCCCAAAAAATGGTTTCCCCCTGTGGGTAAGCCTACAATGTGGATGAATCTTGAAAATATTGTGCTACGTGTTATGTCAGTCATAGCAGCTCACCTATTGTGCAATTCCGTTTATAGGAAATGTCCACAATATGGAAATCTATGCATATGGGATTGATCGCACTAGGTAGTTGCTACCTAGGGCTGAGGGTCAGGGAGAGGGTTTGAGACAGAAGGAGGAGTGACTAATGTCTACAGCGTTTTTCTCTGGTCGGGGGTGATAAGACGTTTTACAATGGATTGCGAATTAAAATTGAATGTGCACAACCACAGGTATACTAAAAGCCACTGAATTCATGACCTTTAATGGGGGAATGTTATGTGGCGCAGTCTCATGGAGACCACGGCAGACATAGTGAGAGAGAAAAAGGTGAGTAAATATCTGAAACGGAGGCAGAAACAGAGAGAATGAAAAGCCCTGTGAATGGAAGGGAGAGCGAAAAGGGAAAATGGTCCCATTTATAAATGACAGATTTGAAACTGGGGTTCACATCAACAGTGTCACTGCCAGGAAGGAGGGTCATGCTAGCCATGTCACCGGTAGTGTGGCCCGCAGGGACGCCGACCTGCTGGAGCGTCGTGCCAGCATGGGCTGTGGCAACCACGTGGGCCAGCAGGAGGTTCCCGCTGCACAGCTGTGGGGTGAGGATAGACTGGGTGGTGATATCGGCCATTACAGGGGCCTCTTCTGCTGGCAAGAGTGTGACAGTAGCAAGTAGATGGACAGGCCTGCGTGTGAGGACGGAATGCAGGAGGGGTTCTTGTGCGGCTGGGTGTGGGGCCCTCACGGGAACCGTGGAGAAATGGCCAGGTAACTGCGTCATGTGGGCTAGTAGATTGGCCAGGGCTTCGAACTGAAGGACGATAACGGGGAGTAGCTGTCAGGCCCTGGGAGTGCCTGAGTGTAAGTGGAGATGGGTTTGGGGTCACTGAGGTATGCGTGGGAGCCATTCCTGTATAGGTACAGGTCATAGGGAGATAGTCTCGTGAGGCCTGTGAGTGTCTAGGGTTGTCCTGGGTGCCTGGGGCTGACTGTGGCAGAAATCTGGGGAAGGCTGGAGAGAAGCTGGGAGACCCAGGAGAGTCCCTGAAGGCAGGGGGTGAAGAGGTGAAAGAAATGGGGGAGGGTTTCAGTAAGGTCCGTGAGTTTGTAGGTGATTCCTGGGTGCGGGAAGCTGACTCCAGGTGAAATCTGGAGATGGTTGGAGAGTAGCTGAGAGAGACAGAAGAGTCCCTGAGGGCTGGGGGTGAGAACATGAGGGAGACGGGGGAGTAAGTCAGTGAAATTCGTGAGTTCGGTGGTGTATCGTGGGTGCCTGGAACTGACTCCAGCTGGAATCTAGAGAAGTTTTGAGAGTAGCTGAAGGAGACACAAGAGTCCCTGTGGGCTGAGGGCAAAGACCTGAGACAGACCAGGGAGGACCTCAGTGAAGACTGTGAGTCTGTAGGTGATTCCGGAGTGTGGGAGGCTGACTCCCGCTGAAATCTGGGCGTGGTGGGAGAGTAGCTGGGACAGACAGGAGAGTCCCAGGGGGCTGGGGGTGAAGACGTGAGAGAGACTGGGGAGTAACTCAGTGAAATTGCTGAGTTGGTTGGTGATAACTGGGTGCCTGGAACTGACCCCCGCTGAAATCTGGGCATGGTTGGAGAGTAGCTGGGACACACAGGAGAGTCCCTGAGGGCTGGGGGTGAAGACATGAGCGAGACCGGGGAGTAACTGAGTGAAACTGGTGAGTTTGGTGGTGACTCCGGGGTGCCTGGAACTGACTCCAGCTGAAATGTGGGCGTGGTTGGAGAGTAGCTGGGACAGACAGGAGAGTCCCTGAGGACTGGTGAAGACATGAGAGAGACTGGAGAGTAATTGAGTGAAATTGGTGAGTTTGGTGGTGATTCCTGGGTGCCTGGAACTGACTCCCGCTGAAGTGTGGGCGTGGTTGGAGAGTAGCTGGGACACACAGGAGAGTCCCTGAGGGTTGGAGATAAAGACGTGCTAGAGACTGAGGAGTAACTGAGTGAAATTGGTGAGTTTGGTGGTGATTCCGGGGTGCCTGGAACGGACTCCAGCTGAAATGTGGGCGTGGTTGGAGAGTAGCTGGGACAGACGGGAGAGTCCCTGAGGGATGGTGAAGACATGAGAGAGACTGGGGAGTAACGCAGTGAAATTGGTGAGTTTGGTGGTGATTTCTGGGTGCCTGCAACGGACTCCCGCTGAAGTGTGGGCGTGCTTGGAGAGTAGCTGGGACAGACAGGCGAGTCCCTGAGGGTTGGAGATAAAGACGTGCTGGAGACTGGGGAGTAACTCAGTGAAAGTGGTGGGCTTGGTGGTGATCCCAGGGTTCCTGGAACTGACCCGCGCTGAAATGTGGGCGTGGTTGGAGAGTAGCTGGGACAGACTGGAGGGTCCGTAAGGGCTGGGGGTGAAGACGTGAGAGAGACTGGCGAGGATCTCACTGAGGTCTGTGAGTTTGTAGGTGTTTCTGGGGTGTGGGGTACAGACTCCCGCTGAAATCTGGGCGTAGTTGGAGAGTAGCTGGGACAGACAGGAGAGTCATGGGTGGCTGGGGGTGAGCTGCTGGATGATGGCAGTAAGAACATATGGTACATTATTGATGAATGAGGTGACTGTGAAGAATCTCCAGAGGAGGACACGGGAGAACACAATGACATGAGTGACTGTCCTGCTTGGTTAGGAAAGGGAAACGTAAAGTTGTGGAATTCTGTTGATGATGGATGTGAGAGTGGTGAAGCCCTGCGGGATGATGTAGAGGACTTCCACATCCCTGGTGAGGAGCTGCCCCTTGGGTCTGAGTTTCTGGGAGGGGAGAGGGAGAAGCTGGGTGAGGCAGGCATGAATCTTGAGGAGTCAGGGCTGGGGGACCGCTCATATTCTCCCGAGACCTGTGAGTCTCTGGGGGACTCCTGGGTGCATGGGGCTGACTCCCGCAGGAACCTGGGGATGGCTGGAGAGTAACTGGGAGCCACAGGAGGGTCCCTGAGGCCTGGGGGTGAAGAGATGCAAGACACAGGGGTGGAGCAGCGTGAGGCTCGTGAGTTTGTAGGTGATTCCTGGGTGTGGGGGGCTGACTCCAGCTGAAATCTGGGGTTGCTTGGAGAGTAGCTTGGAGACACAGGAGACCCCCCGAGAGCTGGGGGTGAGATGCTGCGTGATGGCAGTAAGAACATGTGGTATATTATTGATGAATGTGGGGACTCTATCTTGTCAATGATTCTAGCTTATATTAATATGCAATGTATACAATATGCTAACATTTACAATATATGTTTATAGTTTAAACATTTCTGTCATATTTTCAGATTCTTTAAAGATTATATTACACTTCCTGTTTCAGATAGCTGCTTAAAATGAGTAAGGAAAAACGGATGTGTGCATCAGTTGTAACTGTTTATGGACTAAAACTAGTTGATTTACTGGTTAAGAACAAAAAGTGACAACCTAATTAACTGAAAATTTTAAGTAGGCAATTATAGTTTTAGCTTTAAAGTAAAATATTAACTATGCTCCATTCTTGCATTGTTAACATAATACTCAATATAAATCGCCACATGCCATGTTTCAGATCAAGGTTCTACTTGTGATCTCTCATGAGTTTTTCAAGGTTTTAATTATCTGAGATGTAACAATGTACCCGTAACCTTACTGGCTTAAACCAGGAATTTATTCTTTTTACATGTCAATTTTCTGGGTCAAGACACTGGACAGGGCGGTGTGGGTTGGTTGCTTCGTGATGTCCCTGGTCTCATCTGGAAAGACTCTAGTGGCTGGGGACTTGAAGCAGGGACCCAGAAGGACTCTATTGGCTGGGGACATGGAGCAGGCACCCAGCCCTCTCTTTGTGGCCAGCACGGACTTCCTCCCAGTCTGGCAGTCAGGTAGTCAGGTTTGTCTGGCTTCTCCTAGGGCGTGTGTCCAAGAGGCCCAGGCAGAAGCTGTAAGTTCTCTCATGATCATCCCTCAGAAATCCCAGAGCATCTCTCCTGCCACACTGTCCAGTCATACTCATCACTGAGACAAGCCATGATTCAAGGGCGGAAGGTGATTAGATTCCACCTCTTGATGAGAAGCATAGTAGGAACCTGCAGCAGTCTTTAATAAACCACAGGTTGTCCTCTGTCCACAAACTATTAACGTTTCTCCCACATGCAAATTATGCTTTGCCCCTCTCAAGAGTCCCAAAATGGTTTTCCTTATGGCACTGGCTGGTAGCCCAACTGAATCCTGAATCAGGTTGTGGTGGCCTATCATCTGCCCCTGATGCACTCAGCCACAGTGAGGACTGAATCAGGTTGTTGTGACCTATCATCTGAGCCCACACACTCAGCCGCAGTGAGGACTGAATCAAGTTGTGGTGGCCTGTCATCTGCCCCTGACGCACTCAGCCACAGTGAGGACTGAATCAGGTTGTTGTGACCTACCATCTGAGCCCACACAGTCAGCCGCAGTGAGGGGACAGGTGTGAAAACAGTCGGCATTTCCCTTTAGAAGCTGTTGGTGGGAGGCAGGAGGGAGATGCTGCCCTGCAGGCCCCGTCTAACAGTTGGTCATTCCCATGGGGCGCCTGTTACAGTTCTGTGATTAGTGCCCAGTCCGGGTCCCTGAGAACGGCGCCCAGTCCTTGTCCCTGAGAACAGCGTTTGTGTCCTTTTACTCCTCCCTCTGGGCTTTTGTCATTCTCCATGTTCTTTTTCCTTCAGTGCCTGGGTTGCCGTTGACCAACTTTCTCTGCGTTTTTCTTATAGTCAATAGGGTATTCAATGGCTTCTTTTTAATTTTTTTCTTTTTTTTTCTTTGGCCTTTTGAGACAAGAAATTATTTCTTTATATTTTCTGTAAATTTTGTTTGAAAACTGAACTTCCTTCTTTAGATCATGTCCCTCTCCTGTCATATTTATTCATTGACAGTTAGGGGAGGCTGGTAGCACTTTCCATGTTCTTCCCAGATGTCTCCTTAGGCAGATCCCTGAGATGGTGCAGTGCCCTTTCAGTTTCCATGTTGTGGTCGTAGTTTTCCCACAGTCCCTCAGCACGTAACTCTCAGGCCTTTTCTCCAGTTTCCAATGACATTTTCTCACCGTCCTTCAGGCCCTGACCAAGATTCTTGATGCCCTTCCAGGTTGCATGAATGGTCTCCTTGAGGCCCAGTTACATATCAGCCTCACAGTCGTGGCAAATATTTTAGCTTCTGATTACCACAGCGGCTCATTTCCAGCTACCATATTCTGTTCCAGTTATCTATTCTGAAGAAACCAT
The DNA here is from genome assembly GCF_000001405.40 of Homo sapiens. Classification (NCBI taxonomy): domain Eukaryota; kingdom Metazoa; phylum Chordata; class Mammalia; order Primates; family Hominidae; genus Homo; species Homo sapiens. The sequence continues at coordinate 21,490 of NT_167218.1, forward strand.
CCCCAAAACTTGGCAGCTTAAAACAACTCATTATTACTTGTTTTTTGGCTTAGAGAGTCTTGGTGGCCAGCTCATCTCACACACAGTTGCAGCCAAGCTGGATTGTGTGAAAGCACAGCGGGGTGGTGTGCAGGGTGGCTCACTAGTGGTTCGGAGTGGATGTTGCTGGAGGATCACTAGTGGTTGGGAGTCGGTGTTGCTGGAGGGTCAGTGGGGGATGTCAATGCAATGCGTGTAGCTAGTCATGGACTGGCCGTGTGGTTTCCATCATGGGGTCTCAGGGGAGTGGGATTTCCTGCCTGGTGACTGGCTTTCTCCTGGATAAGTGTTCTGTTTTCTCAGCCTGGCTTCTGAAGTCCCCAAATACCACCTTTGTCACCTTCTGTTGGCCAAACAAATCAGTAGTCTGGGCAAGGTATAAGGGGAATTGGTTCTCACAGAGAGAGGAGCAGGAAAGAAGTTGTCACCTTTAGTCTACCAGAAATATGATTTTTATAACAAGTTTGTTCCAAATACATTCCAGTTCCCCTTGTGAATACTTTTTTGACTCACAGGGTATTTCAAAGTTTATTACTTGGTTTTCAGACATTTGAGGCTTTTCTGGATATCAATTTGTTGTTGGTTTCTAATTTAATTTCACGTGTTCAGACAACATACTTTGTATACTATTTCAGGCTTGAACCTTTTCTCAATTGATCGACATACAGTCTATCTTGGTACTGCCAAGTACCATTTGGGTCAGGATTTTGTCATTTAGATCCGTATTTTTCCTATATTTTTATCTGGTTGTTCCATCAGTTATTGAGAGAGCAGTATTAATTCACCAGCTATAATTTTGGATTGTCAATTCCTGCTTTTGTTCTGTTGTTTTTGATTCACATATTTTGAGGCTCTGTGTGTGTGTGTACTTTGTGTGCACTTTGAGGCACAATTTATAATTGTAATATCATCCTCTCTGATTCTTTTATTTTTATGAAATTACCTTGTTTATTTCTGGTGATATATTTTGTTCTGAAGCCTCTTTCATCTAGTGTTAACATCTCCGTTGAAGCTTTTTATGATTAGTGTCTGGATAGCATATTTTTATGATTAGTGTCTGCATAGCATATTTTTTCTCATACTTTGTGTCTTTGTATTTAAATTGTGTCTCTGTGGATGCCATATTGTTGGGTCTTGCTTTCCTCTCAGGTCTGGCAGTCTCTGTCTTAAGTAGAGTATTTGTCCAGTTACATTGTAACTAATCATTGCTAAGGTTGGATTTAGGTCTGCCATTTTTCTACTTATTTTCTATTTGTTTGTTTATTTTTTTTTTAAGACAGGGTCTTGCTCTGTCACCGAGAGTGTAGTGCAATGGTGCAATGTTGGCTCACTGCAACCTCTGCCTCCCAGGCCCAACCTATACTCACTGGAGCCCACTGAGTAGCTGGGACTACAGGCGCATGGAAACACACCTGGCTAATTTTTATATTTTTTGTAGAGATAGGGTTTTGCCATGTTGCACAGGCTGGTCTTGAACTCCTGAGCTCAAGCAATCTACCCACATTGGCCTCCCAAAGTGTTCAGATTACAGGCATGAGCCACCATGTCTGGCCTTCGTCTGTGTTTTGATCTTATATATATTCTTTCCTAACTTCTTTTGGGTTAAATATTTCTAAATATTCCAGTTTGATTAATCTTTTGGCTTTTTGAAATAATTTTTTATAGGCTGGGCATGGTGGCTTATGCTCATAATCTCAGCTCTGTGGGAGGCCAAGGGAGGTGGATTGCTTGAGCCCAGGAGGTTGAGACCAGCCTGGCATCATGGCAAAACCCTCTCTACAAAAAAACCAAACCAAAATTTAGCCTGACATCTTGGTGTGCACCTGTAGTCCCAACTATTCGGGAGGCTGAGGTGGAAGGGTTTCTTGAGCCTGGGAGGTTGAGACTGCAATGAGCTGTGATCATGCCATTGCACTCCTGCCAGGGCAACAGAGTAAGACCCTGTGTCAAAAAAGATCATTTTTTATAAATAATTTATTATTTAGAATTTTGGTAACAAACACATACCTTAAAATTTACCATCATAACCAATTGTAAGTGTACAGTTTTGTAGAGTTAAGAATATTTACAGTGTTGTGTAGCAGATTTCTAGATTTTTTTTATCTTGGAAAACTCTATACCCATTCAACAACTATTAATTTCCCCCTCCTTCCACCTCCTGGCAAGTACTATTCTACTTTGTGTTTCTAAAAATTTGGCTTATATACCTAGGGTTATATAATATTTGTTGTTTTGTAAGTAGGTTCCATGTTATGTGTCAGATGTGTCAGGATTTTCTTCCTTTCTATGGCTGAATAATATTTCTTCATATATATTATATATATATTACATATATATTATATACATATATTATATATTATATATAAAATATATGTATATAGTATATATCATATATATATATGCTTTTGTTTATCCATCTATTCCTGGACGGACGTTTGGTTTCTTCCACCTTGTGGCTGTGTAATGCTGCTGTGAACATAGGGGTGCACATATCTGTTTGAGGTCCTGCTACTAGTTATTCTGTCTCTGTAGTAGTTGGATGGCTGGATCATATGGTCATTTTATTTTATTTTTTTTGAGGAGCCAGTTCATATTTCCACCAACAGTGTTCAAAGGTTTCAGTTTCACCTGCGCTTGTTACTTTCTGTTGGGTTTGAAGTGATGTCGCATTGTGGTTTCTTTTTGCATTTCTCTAATGACTAGTGATGTTACACATCTTCTCATATATCTCATGTATCTGTTGGCTATTTGTATATCATCTTTGCATCTTTGGATAAATATTGTTTGTCCATTTTTTTAATCACTTTATTTTGTTGTTGGGTTGTAGTGGGGTTTTTTTGTCATGATCATTCATTTATCTCACAGTTCATTCTCCTTACTTGGGCCAGGGTCATGATCATTCATTATCTCTCAGTTCATCCTCATTACGTTGGGCAAACAGTCATGCTGCAGGGTATAGATTATGTTATTCTGTTACTTTCAGGTAGAATTGGGGTCTAGGTTCTAATTGTTTCTAAGTTTAGATTCTGAATGAGAATCAGCAGAGGTAGACCACCACTGCTGGGGCCTGGGGATTGCCGGGGAAAAGGCAGGAAACAAATACAGACCTGACCATGGAGGGTTTGTGTTTCATGGCTCCCATCTGGGTACCCAAGGAACCTACATGTAGCTCGTGTGTGGAGAGCCTACATTGCCCACTCAAAGCAATTGAGGATGGAACAGTCTTGGGGCTGGAGCTCATTTTTTGGAATGATAACCACATCTGCACAGAGAGGACCTGATAAGATGTTGTCCTTCCATGTATATCTGGGAATCCTGTGTAGGGTCTCTCTGTAAGGACAGGGGCAGTGTTGGCTCCTTGGCCTCTAGTTAGCCTCACGAGTAGTCTAGTAAAGGCTTTGCCAACTTGTCACCATCTGTGGATATTCTGGCCAGCTCTTGTTTTCACCCTACTGACTTCTTCAGACACTAGGCTTTTGCTTTAGACCACTCATGGTTTTTCTTCCTCTTCAAATCAGTAATCAATAAATCCTCTTCAAATCAATAGATTTCCACTCCTTTAGGAAACTCTGATCTTCTGGTCATGCCAAGGTTTAATTAACTGGTTTAATTGTTTTTCTGTTTTCTTGGTTTCTTTTTCCTTCTTCCTGGGGGTTTCTAGTAATTTTAGATTCATGTCTCACTTTCTCCATTTTTTAGTTCTTAGTTTTCTTCTGTGATTATTTTCACTGCAGCTGCAGGGCCTAATCCTGGGTTGGCAGAGAACTAGCACTTACTCTGCCCTAATTGGAATCCGGGAGAGATAGGAGGTGCCCTAGTGTGAAAATGTGTTTGCTCCTCTTTGCTTCTGGTAGTCTCTCCGTAGGAGTACTTTACGTATTCTGAATATTCACTTCTTATGAGATACATGATGTGCAACTATAGGTTGAATGTCTCTGATCCAAAAATCTGAAATCCCAAATGCTCCAAATTCTGAAACTTTTTGAGTGCCAACATGACACTCAAAGGAAATGCTTATTGGAGCATCGCAGACTCAGGTGTTTGAATTCGAGATGCTCAACCAGTAAGAATAATGCAAATATTACAAAATCTGAAACACATCCCAAGCATTTCAAATAAGGGACACTCAACTGGTATTTTCTTTTATTCTACAGTTTGCCTTTTACCCTGTTGTTTGTGACCTTTGTGGTACAAAAGTTTTAAGTTTGATATATTTTTGCTTTTACTGCCTGAGCTTTTAATGTCGTATCCTAAAAATTATTGACAAATTCATCGTCATAAAGCATTTTCCAAATTTGTTTTCCCTAGGAGTTTGATAGTTCTAGTTTTACATTTAGGTTTATAATTCACTTTGAATTAATTTTAACGTGGTGTAAGGTAAGAGTCCAACTTCATTGTTTTGCATGTAGATATACAATTTTCCCAACACCATTTGTTGAAGAAACTGTCCTTTGCCATTGAGTGGTCTTGGCATCCTTGTGGAAGATCATCAAACCATATATGCCAGGGTTGGCTTCTGAGGTCTCTGTTGTGTTGGTCCATAAGTGTGTCAAGTATGTCTTTATGCCATGACCACATTTTTTTTTGGCTTATTGCAGTTTGGTAATTGTTTTGAGACCTTTAATTTTGTTCTGTTTCTAGATTGATTTGCCTATTCATGGGCCCTGGAGATTCCATATGAATTTTAATATAGGTTTTTCTGTTTATCAAAAATGTCATTGGAATCTTTATAAGGATTGTATTGAATCTAGGTCACTTCGAGTAGTGTTGACATCATTCCAAGATGAAATCATCTAATCTGCAAACCCAGCTTTTCTTTTTCATTTATTTGTGTTTAATTTCTTTCAACAGTGTTTTGTAGTTTTCTGTGTTCAAATCTTTTGCCCTTTTTGTTAAGCTTATTTTTAATTTTTATAATGCTGTTTTAAATGTAATTCTTTTTTTTTTTTTTTGAGATGGAGTCTTGCTCTGTCTCCCAGGCTGGAGTGCAGTGGCACTATCTCAGCTCACTGCAACCTGCGCCTTCTTTATTCAAGCGATTCTCCAACCTCAGCCTCTCAATTACCTGGGATCACAGGTGTGCGCCAGCACGCCCAGCTAATTTTTTGGTATTTTTAGTAGAGACAGGGTATCTCCATGTTGACCAGGCAAGTCTTGAACTTGTGACCTCAGGTGATCTGCCCGCCTCGGCCTCCCAAACTGCTGGGATTGCAGGCATGAACCACTGCACCCAGCCAAATGTCATTCTTTTCAAAAATTTCTTTTCTTTTGTTTTATCTTTCTTTTCTTTCTCTCTCTTTCTTTCCTTTCTTTCTTTTCTTTGAGATGGCGTCTCACTCAGTTTCCTAAGCTGGAGCGCAGTGGCACAATCTCAGCTGACTGCAACCTCCACCTTCCAAGTTCAAGCAATTCTCCTGCCTCAGCCTCCCAAGTAGCTGGGACTACAGGTGTCTGCCACTATGCCCAGCTAATTTCTGTATTTTTAATAGAGACAGAGTTTTACTATTTATATTAGAGATGGGATTGGCCCAGCTGGTCACGAACTCCTGACCTCAGGTGGTCTACCCGACTTGGCCTCCCAAAGTGCTGGGATTATAAGTGTGAGCCACTGCACCTGGCCTCTCTTTTTAAAATTTCATTTGCAGATTGTTCATTGTTAGTTTATGGAAATGCAACTGACTTGTGTGTGTTACTGTATCCTGAAACTTTGTTGAATTTCATTATTTTACCAGTATTTTGTGGAATTTCAGGATTTTTCCCATTACATCCTGTTGTCTGTGAACAAAATTTTGTACTTTTTCCTTTCCAATTTGCATGCTTTTTATTACTTTCTCTTGCCTAATTATTCTGAGTAGAAATTCCAGTGCTTTGGTGAATAGAAGTGGCAGGAAGGGATGTTGCTATCTTATTCCTGATCCTAGAGGAAAAGATTTTAGTTTTTCACCATTGAGTATGATGTTAGCTGTGAGCTTTTCATGTACAATCTTTATTTACTGAGGAGTTTCCATATATTACTAATTCTTTGAGTCTTTTTATTACAAAAGGTGTTCATCTGGCTCTGGAACCAGATAAATGTTGACCTGATAGAATGGATTGGAATGTCCCCTTCTGGTTTTTGAACATTTTTGGAATATTTTGCAGAGGATTGGCATTAATTCTTCTTGAAATGTTTGGTAAAATTCTCCAGTGAAGTTATCTGGACCTGGAATTTTCTTTTTTGGGGGGTTTTTGATTACTGGTTGAATCTTCTTACTAGTTACAGGTCTCTTTGGATTTTTTATTTCTCCGTGATTCAGTATGGTGGTTTGTGTTTCTAGGAATTTATAAATTTATTCTAGGTTGCCCAGTTTTGTGGCATACGGTTGCTCACATTAGTCTCTTTTAATCTTTTTCATTTCTGTGGCATCTGTTGTACTGTCACCTCTTTTATTTACGATTTTAGTATTTGAGATTTCTCTTTTTTTCTTAATATAGCTGTGAGTTTTAAAATTGTTATTGATCTTTAAAAAAAACTCAGTGTGTTTTTTTTTCCTTTTTTTTCTGGTATTATTCTGCTTATCTCTGCTCTAATCTGTTATTTTCTTCCTTTTGCTTGGTTTGTCATTAGTTTTTTTTTTCCCCCCCTTCAGGTGTAATGTTAGGTTATTGATTTGAGATCTTTCTTCTTTTTAATTTAAGCACCTGCAGCTATAAGCTTCCCTTTAGCATGGGTTTGAGATCTTTCTTCTTTTTAATTTAAGCATCTGCAGCTGTAAGCTTCCCTTTAGCATGGGTTTGAGATCTTTTTTCTTTTTAATTTAAGCATCTGCAGCTGTAAGCTTCCTTTTAGCACGGGTATGAGGTCTTTCTTCTTTTTAATTTAAGCATCTGCAGCTGTAAGCTTCCCTTTAGCACTGCCTTTGTTGCCTCCTCCTGAGTTTGGGTATGTCATGGTTTTCTTTTCGTTTGCTTAAACATTTTTTGTCCTATTGTAATATAATTGCATTGTTTTTAATAAAGGTAATTAATGAAACACATAATGAATTTTGCTTCTGTTTTTATAATATTTTAAGTATTCTTAACTCAGAAATGTAAATTTTAGAAAAAAATTCCAGGCCAGGCACAGTGGCTCACACCTTTAATCCCAGCACTTGGGGAGGCCGAGGCGGGTGGATCATCTGAGGTCAGGAGTTGGAGACCAGCCTGGCCAACATGGTGAAACCCTGTCTTTACTAAAAATAGAAAATATATATATAAAAGTTAGCTGGGTGTCGTGGCGGGTGCCTGTAATCCCAGCTACTCTGGAGGCTGAGGCAGGATAATCACTTGAATCTGGGAGGCGGAGGTTGCAGTGAGCTGAGATTGCACCACTGCACTCCAGCCTGGGTGACAGAACGAGAGTCCATCTCAAAAAAAAAAAGAAAAAAGAAAAAATTTCAGACATATTTATATGTATTTCCATTTAGAAACTATGATCTCCTAAGTGTATTGACACAACAACCTGACATAAAGATAAAGAATAATAAGCATATAACAAAACGGAAACTTGCAAATACCTGTTTTTTATTAATTTTTAGTTATATATATTTAAAAATTGCCAGGTGCAGTGGCTTACACCTGTAATCCCAGCACTTTGGGAGGCTGAGGTGGGCAGATCACATGAGGTCAGGAGTTTGAGACCAGCCTGGCCAACATGGTGAAACCTCATCTCTATTAAAAATCAAAAAATTAGCCAGGCATGATAGCATGCATCTGTAGTCCCAGCTACTCGGGAGACTGAGGCAGGAGAATTGCTTGAACATGGGAGGCAGAGGTTGCAGTGAGCCAAGATAGTGCCACTGCACTCCAGCCTGGGTGACAGAGTGAGACTCTGACTCAAAAAAATAAAAATTGCCTGGGTGCGGTGGCTCACACCTGTAATCGGAGTACTTTGGGAAGCTGAGGCAGGCAGATCACGTCAGGAGATCAAGACCATCTGGGCTAACACGGAGAAAAGCCGTCTCTACTAAAAATACAAAAAATTAGCCGGGCGTGGTGGCGGGTGCCTGTAGTTCCAGCTACTCCGGAGGTTGAGGCAGGAGAATGGTGTGAACCTGGAGGGTGGAGCTTGCAGTGAGCCGAGATTGCACCACTGGACTCCAGCCTGGGTGACAGAGCGAGACTCTGTCTCAAAATAAAATAAAATAAAATAAAACTAAGTTGTGGTTGACATACAAAAATTACAAATATTTAATATATACCTTGTGTGTATGTGTTTGTGTGTGTGTGTGTGTGATGGATGTTTTACTCTTGTGGCCCAGGCTGGAGTGCAGTGACACGATCTCAGCTAACTGCAACCTCTGCCTCCCAGGTTCAAGCAATTCTCCTGCCTCAGCCTCCTGAGTAGCTGGTATCGCAGGTGTGCGCCCCCACGCCCAGCTAATTTTTGTATTTTTTTAGTAGAGACAGGGTTTCACCATGTTGGCCAGGCTGGTCTCGAACTCCTGACCTCAGATGATCCACCTGCCTTGGCCTCCCAAAGTGCTGGGACTACAGGCATGTGACACCGAATATATACATCTTAATGAGTTTAGTGATAAGTATTCTCCCCAGGACTCATCACAACAAATAATGCCGTAAACTTGACCATCACTCCCCATATATTTCTCATTCTCACGCTTTTTAAAAAATGAGACCGGGAGCGGTGGCTCACGCCTGTAATCCCAGCACTTTGGGAGGCCGAGGCAGGTGGATCACGAGGTCAGGAGATCAAGACCATCCTGGCTAACACAGTGAAACCCCCTTTCTACTAAAAATACAGAAAATTAGCTGCGCGTGATGGCAGGCGCCTGTAGTCCCAGCTACTTGGGAGACTGAGGCAGGATAATGGTGTGAACTCGGGAGGCAGAGCTTGCAGTGAGCCAAGGTAGTGCCACTGCACTCCAGCCTGGGCAACAGAGCGAGACTCCATGTCAAAAAAAAAAAAATGAGATGACCATTTCACCTAAAATATACCCTCTTAAGTTTTTTTTTACGTGTACAATACAGGACGGCCATGCATCAGAGATATATGTGGGTTTGGTTCCAGACCACTGCAATAAAGTGAGTTATACAATTTCTTTTGGTTTCCCAGTGCATGTAAAAGTATGTTTATACTGTGCTGTATAAAGTGTGCAACAGCATATGTCTACAAAGTGTGCATACTTTAATTTACAAATACTTTATTGTTAACAAGTGCTAACAGTCATCTGAGCCTTCAGAAAACTGCAATCTTTTTTTGTGTGTGTGACAGGGTTTTACTCTGTGGCTCAGGCTGGAGTAATTGCAGCCTCAACCTCATGCTCGATCAAACCTCCACCTCAGACTCCTGACTAGCTGGGACTACAGGTGCATGCCACCATGTCCAGCTAATTCTTGTATTTTTTTTTTGTAGAGATGAGGTTTTGCCATGTTGCCTTGACGTCCTGGGCTCAAGCAATCCACACAACTTGGCCTCCCAAGTTGTTGGGATGACAGGTGTGAGCCACTGCACCTGGCCAAGTTTCAGTCTTCTTGCTGATGGAGAGACTTGCCTTAATGTAAGGTGGTGGTTGCTGAGCGTTGGGGTGGCTGTGGCAATTTCTTAAAATAAGACAACATTGAAGTTTGCTGTGTCAATTGACTCTCTGTTTCACAAAAGAATTATCTGTAGCATACGATGTTGTTTGATAGCTTTTTACCCACAGTAGAACTTTCAAAATTGGATTCAATCCTGTCAGACCTTCGTACTGCTGTACCAACTAAGTTTATGTATTATTGTAAATCACTGGGTTCAATCCTGTCAAGCCCTCCTTCTGCTGTACCAACTAAGTTTATTCTAAATCTGTTGTCATCTCAACAATGTTTACACTGTCTTCACCACGAGTAGATTTCATCTCAAGAAACCACTTTCTTTGCTCATCCGTGGAAGCAACTCATCCACTCACGTTTTCTCCGGAGGCTGCTGCAGTCTCGCCACATCTTCAGGCTCTGTCTCTGTTTCTAGTGCTCTTGTTATTTCCACCATATCTGCAGTTACTTCCTACAGAGAAGTCGTGAACCCCTCAGTGTCATCTGTGAGGGTTGGAATAATCTTCCCAACTTCTCTCTCTCTTTTTTTTTTCTTTTTTTGAGATGAAATCTTGCCTGGACTGGAGTGCAGTGATGCGATCTCAGCTCACTGCAACCTCCACCTCCCGGGTTCAAGCAATTCTCCTGCCTCAGCCTCCCAAGTATTTGGGATTACAGTCACCCCCGACCAGGCCCAGCTAATTTTTTGTGTGTTTTTAGTACAGAGAGGATTTCACTTTGTTGGCCAGTCTGGTCTCAAATTCCTGACCTCGTGATCCACGTGCCTTGGCCTCCCAAAGTGCTGGGATTACAGGCATGAGCCACCAAGCCCGGCCCCAACTTCTCCTAATGTTGCTATTTTGATCTTCTTTTTTAAATCATCAATGTTCTCAATAGCATCTAGAATGGTGAATCCTTTCCGGTAGGTTTTCAATTATTTTGCCCAGATCTATCAAAGGAATCACTTTCTAGAGAAGCTATAGCTTTATGAAATATATTTTTAAGTGATAAGACTTGAAAGTTGAAATTATTCTGTGATCCAAGGGCACTAGAATGAATGTTGGGTTAGTAGGCATGAAAACAATATTCAGCTCTTTATACATCTCTGTAAATGCCCTTGAGTACCAGGGGCATTGTCAGTGAGCGGTAATACTTTGAAAGTAATCTTATTTCTTGAGCAGTAGGTGTCAACAGTGGGCTTAAGATATTCAGTAAACCGTATTTGTAAACCGATAGTCTGTCATCCAGGCTTTGTTCCCATTTGTAGAGTACAGGCAGAGCTGTGTTTTATCATAATTCTTCAGGGCCCTTGGATTTTCAGAATAGTAAATCATCATTGGTTTCAAGTTAACATCACCAACTGCATTAGCCCTTAACAAAAGAGTCAGCATGTCCTTTGAAGCCTTAAAGCCAGGCATCAACTCCTCTCTAGCTGGGAACATCCTAGATGGCATCTCCTTCTAGTAGAAGGCTGTTTTGTCTCCATTGCAAATCTGTTTAGTGTAGCCATCTTAATCAGTTATCTTCTAGATAGCTTTCTGCAGGTTTTCCATCAGTACTCGCTGCTTTATCTTGCGCTTTTATGTTATGGAGATGACTTTTTTCCTTAAACCTCAAGAAACAAGCTCTTCTAGCTTCAGACTTTTCTTCTGCAGCTGCCTCACCTCTCTGAGTCTTCATAGAATTGAAGAGAGACTGGATGCGGTGGCTGTCACACCTGTAATCCTAGCAATTTGGGAGGCCGAGGCGGGCAGATCACCTGAGGTCGGGAGTTCGACACCAGTCTGACCAACGTGGAGAAACCCCATCTCTACTAAAAATATAAAAAATCAGCCAGGCGTGGTGGCGCATGCCTGTAATCCCAGCTACTCGGGATGCTGAGGCAGGAGAATGGCTTGAACTTGGGAGGCAGAGGTTGCGATAAGCCAAGATTGCGCCATTGCACTCCAGCTTGGGCAAGAAGAATGAAACTCTGTCTTAAAAACAAAGAAAAAAAGTAAAAAGAGAGGCTTAGGCTTAATGGAATTTTTTTTTCATCTTCTATCTAGACCAATTAAACTTTCTTCATAACAGCAGCAAGACTGTTTAGCTTTTTATCATTCATGTGTTCACTGGAGTAGTACTTTAAATTTCTTTCCAGAACACTTCGTTTGCATTCACAACTTGGCTAAGTGTTTGTTGCATGAGGTCTAGCTACTGGCCTGTCTTGCTTACAGCATGCCTTCCTCACTAAGCTTAATTATTTCTTCCTTTTGGTTTAAAGTGACAGACATGCAACTCTTCTTTCACTTGAACATATAGAGGCTATTGTAGGGTTATTAATTGGCCACATTTTAATATTAATAAAAAGAAGCCTGAGAAAAAGAGAGAGAAAGAGAAATGGCCCGTTGGTGGGGCAGTCAGAACAAACGCATTTGTCAATTGTTTGCGGTCTTATCCGGGTGTGATTTGTGGTTCCCAAAACAATGACAACAGTACCATTAAAGATCACTGATTACAGATCACCATAACAGATTCAATAATAAAAAGCTTAAAATACTGTGAGAATGCCGAAATGTGACACAGAGACGTGAAGTGAGCACATGCTCTAGGAACAATGGTGCCAGTGAGACCTGCTTATTGCAGGGTGGCCACAAACTTTCAATATGTAAAAAACATGGTCACAAAACACAATAAAGCAAAGTGCAGTGAAACAAGATGTGTCTGTCTTTTGATAGGCTCTGACAATCTCTATCTTTGAATTGGTACATTCATACTATTAACATTCAAAGTGATTATTGATATCATTGGATTAATATCTACTATATTTGTTACTGTTTTCTATTCATTCTCCTCAGTCTTCATTCTTTTGTCTACCACTCTTTTTCTGCCTTTTGCAGTTTTCATTGATGATTTTAGATGACTACATTTTCCGTCTTTTTTAGCATGTACTTCTCTTTTTAAAATTTTTTTTAACTATTTGCCACAGAATTTGCAATATACATTTACAACAAATTCAAGTCCACTTTCAAATAACACTATCCCACTATCCCACAAATAGGACTACCTGCTTAACAAACAAAACACCTAATTCCTCAATATACATTTACAACCAATTCAAGTCCACTTTCAGATAACACTATCCCACTTCACGGGTGACTACCTGCTTAACAAAGAAAACACCTGATTCCTCCCTCCCATCCTTCCATTCCATTCCTTGTATTATTGTTCCTTATTTCCCTTGTGTATAAGCATACATAATCTATCTGTGTGTATTTATTGTTATCTACAAACTTATTGGTCAGATCAATTATGAATAAATACATGTTTTTATTTTACCACAATTCCTCCCTCCCATCCTTCCATTGCATTCCTTGTATTAGTGTTACTCATTTCACTTGTGTATAAGCATACATAATCTATCTGTGTGTATTTGTTATTGTCTGTGAACTTCTTGGTCAGATCAATTAAGAATAAATATATAGGTTTTTATTGTACCGCAATTCTTTCTTTAATGATCTTTTTAAAAAATTGTTGATCCAAGTTTCAGTTAAATATCTTTTGTTTCCCTCTAAAGAATTTCATTTAACATTTCTTGCAAGACAGGTCTCCTGGCAACAAGTTTCTTGAATTTTTATTTTTCTGAGGAAGGCCTTAATTCTCCTTCACTTTTGAAGGGTGGTTTCAGTGTGTACAGAAACTTAGGTTGGTGGGGTTTTTTCTGTCAATATTTTCAATTTTTCATTTCACTGTCTTCTTGCTTTCACAATTTCTGCAATGTTGAATGCCGTTCTTATCTTTGTGTCTCTGTAGGTAAGGTGTTTTCTGCCCCACCTCTGGTTTCTTTCAGAGTTTTCCTTTATCTTTTATTTCATATAGTTTGAAAATTATATGTCCAAGTGTAGGTTGTTGGCATTTATTCTGCATGGTGTTCTCGGAGCTTCCTGGATTTTTGGTTTGGTGTCTGACATTAATACTGGAAGTTCTCAGACATGGTAGTTGCAGAACTTTCTTCTATTTCTTCTCCTCCTGGTATTCTCACTACTCTGTTTCACCTTTTGTAGTTGTCCCACAGTCTTGGATATCATCTTCTGTTCTTTTCAGTGTTTCTTTTCTTTAGTTTTTGAAGTTTCTGATGATAAATCCTCAAGCTCAGAGACTCTTTACTCAGCTGAGTCCAGTCTACTAATAAGCCATCAGAGGTATTCTTCAGTTATTTACCACATTTTTTATCACTACATTATGTTGAAGGTTCTTACGATGTCTGTCTTTCTGATTACATTACCCATCTACACTTGAATGCTGTCTACTTCATTCATTAGAGCCCTTAACATATTCTCCAGAGGTTTAAAAAAAATCCAAAATCATATTTTTGTCTGCTTCTGAAGCTTGCTCTGTTGACACAAATTGTATTTTTTTCTTTTTTTGGACTTTAGTATGCCTTGCAATTTGTTCCCTTTATTCTCATGCATGAAGTACCCACGAAAAGTGACTGCTGTTAGTATAGCTTCAGTAATGTGGTGATGAGGTGACAGGGCAGCTGATGCTCTCTTAGTCTCTTTAGGCTACTATAACAAAATACTTTAGACTGAGTAATTCATAAACAACAGAGATTATTGCTCACAGATCTGGAGGCTGGAAAGTCCAAGACTAAAGGGCCAGGATATTTGGTGTTTGGTGAAGGTCAAACATTCAGACACTTGCAACGACTATAGTGACAGCAGCAGTCTTCAGAAATCCTATGTGAGGGACAAACACTCAGAAGCCAGCTGGAGTGTTCTAGAATCCTATGTGAGGGAAAAACATTCAGACCCCAGCAGTAGTGTTGTGGAATCCTATGTGAGGGAAGAACATTCAAACCCTCGTAGCAGTGTTCTGGAATCCTATGTGAGGGAAAAAAATTCAGAACCTCGTAGCAGTGTTCTGGAATCCTATGTGAGGGAAAAAAATTCAGAACCTCGTAGCAGTGTTCTGGAATCCTATGTGAGGAACAATCAGACCACATCAGGAATGTTCTGGAATCCTATGTGAGGGACAAACATTCAGAGTACAGCAGGAGTGTTCTGGAATCCTATGTGTGGGACAAACATTCAGACCACAACAGGAGTGCTCTGCAATCCTATGTGAGGGACAAACATTTCAAAACCTCGTAGCAGTGTGCTGGAATGTTATGTCAGGGACAGACATTTAGACCCTCACAGCAGTGTTCTGGAATCCCATCTGCGGGACAAACATTCAGACACTCGCAGCAGTGTTCTGGAATTCTATGTGAGGGACAGACATTCAAAACCCAACAGCAGTGTTCTGGAATCCTATGTGAGGGACAAACTTTCAGACCCTCGTAGCAGTGTTCTGGAATCCTATCTGAGGGACAAACATTCAGACCCTCATAGCACTGTACTGGAATACTATGTGAGGGACAAACATTCAGACCATGGCAGTTCCGAAATGCTATGTGAAGGACAAACATTCAGACCTTCGTAGCAGTGTTCTGGAATCCTATGTGAGGGACAAGCATTCAGAACCTCGTAGCAGTGTCCTGGAATCTTATGTGAGGGAGAGACATTTAGACCCTCGCAGCTGTGTTCTGGTATCCCATGTGAGAGACAAACATTCAGACCCTCCCAGCCGTGTTCTGGAATTCTATGTGAGGGAAAGACATTCAAACCCCAGCAGCAGTGTTCTGGAATCCGATTTGAGGGGCAGACATTCAGACCCCAGCAGCAGTGTTCTGGAATCCTATGTGAGGGACAAACATTCAGACCCCAGCAGCAGTGTTCTGGAATCCTATGTGAAGGAAAAATATTAAGACCCTCGTAGCAGTGTCCTGGAATCATATGGAAGGGACAACCATTCAGACACCAGCAGAAGTCTTCTGGAATCCTAGGTGTGGGAAAAACATTCAGAACCTAGTAGCAGTGTTCTGGAATCCTATGTGAGGGACATACATTCAGACCACGGCAGCAGTGTTCTGGAATGGTATGTGAAGGACAAACATTCAGACCCTTGTAGCAGTGTTCCGGAATCCTATGTGAGGGACAAACATTCAGACCACGGCAGCAGTGTTCCGGAATCCTGTATGACGGACCAACATTCAGACCCTTGCAACAGTGTTCTGGAATACTAGGTGAGGGAGAATTATTTATACCCTCGTAGCAGTGTTCTGTAATCCTATGTGAGGGACAAACATTCAGACCCCAGGAGCAGTGCTCTGAAATCCTAAGTTAAGGGAAACATTGAGACCCCAGCACGAATGTTCTGGAATCCTATGTGAGGGACAAACATTCAGACCACGGCAGGAGTGTTCTGGAATCCTATGTAAGGAACAAACATTCAGACCTCAGCAGGAGTGTTCTGGTATCCTATATGAGGGATAAGCATTTAGACCCTCGTAGCAGTGTTCTGGAATCCTATGTGAGGGAGAAGCATTCAGAGCACAGCAGGAGTGCTCTGGAATCCCATGTTAGGGACAAACATTCAGAACCTGGTACCATTGTGCTGGAAACCTATGTGAGGGACAGACATTTAGACCCTCGCAGCAGTGTTCTGGAATCCCATGTGAGGGACAAACATTCAGATCCTCGCAGCAGTGTTCTGGAATACTATGTGAGTGACAAACATTCAGACTCCAGCAGCAGTGCTCTGTATTCCTATGTGAAGGACAAACATTCAGAACCCAGGAGCAGTGTTTTGAAATCATATGTTAAGGGCAAACATACAGACCCTAGCATCAATGTTCTAGAATCCTATGTGAGGGACATACATTCAGACCCTTGCAGCAGTGTTCTGGAATCCCAGATGGGGGACAAACATTCAGACAATGGCAGCAGTGTTCTGGAATCCTATGTGAGGCACAAACACTCAGAGCCTCGTAGTGGTGTTCTGGAATCCTATGTGAGGAACAAACAATCAGACCACAGCAAGAGTGTTCTGGAATCCTTTGTTAGGGACAAACATTCAGATCACAGCAGCAGAGTTCTGGAATCCTATGTGAAGGACAAACATTCAGACCCTCGTAGCAATGTTCTGGAATCCTAAGTGAGGGACAAACTTTCAGACAACAGCAAGAGTGTTCTGGAATCCAATGTGAGGGACAAACATTCAGACCCTCATAGTAATTTTCTGGAACCCTAAGTGAGGGACAAACATTCAGAATTTCATAGCAGTGTTCTGGAATCCTACATGAGGGATAAACATTCAGACCACAGCAGGAGTGTTCTGGAATCCTATGTGAGGGACAAAAATTCAGATGCCAGCATAAGTCTTCTGGAATCCTATGTGAGGGACAAACATTCAGACCCTCATAGCAGTTTTCTGAAATCCTACTTGAGAGACAAACATTCCCACCACAGCAGGAGTGTTCTCGAATCCTATGTGAGGGCAAACATTCAAACCACAGCAAGAGTGTTCTGGAATCCTGCGTGAGGGACAAACATTCAGACCCTTGTGGCAGTGTTCTGGAATCCTATGTGAGAGACAAACATTCAGACCCTCATAACAGTTTTCTGAAATCCTACTTGAGAGACAAACATTCCCACCACAGCAGGAGTGTTCTCGAATCCTATGTGAGGGCAAACATTCAAACCACAGCAGGAGTGTTCTGGAATGCTATGTGAGGGACAAACATTCAGACACTCGCAGCAGGCTTCTGGAATCCTACGTGAGGGACAAATATTTAGACAATGGCAGCAGTGTTCTGGAATCCTATGTGGGGGACAAACATTCAGAGCCTTGTAGTGTTGTGGAATCCTATGTGAGGGACAGACATTTAGACCACAGCAGCAGTGTTCTGGAATCCCATGTGAGAGACAAACATTCAGACCCCGAACAGAAGTGTTCTGGAATCCTATGTGAGGGACAAACATTTAGACCCTCTTTGCAGTGTTCTGGAATCCTATGTGAGGGACAAACATTCAGACGCCAGCAGCAGTGTTTTGGAGTCGTATGTGATGGACAAACATTCAGACCCTTGTAGCTTCTTCTGGAATCCTACGTGAGACACAAACACTCAGAACCCAGCAACAGTGTTCTGGAATCCTATGTGAAGGACAAGCATTCAGACCCTCGTAGCAGTGTACTGTAATCCTATGTGAGGGACAAACATTCAGACCATAGCAAGATTGTTCTGGAATCCTATGTGAGGAACAAATATTCAGACCAGGACAGCAGTGTTTTGTAATCCTGTCTGAAGGACAAACATTGAGACCCTTGTAGCTGTTTTCTGGAATCTTATGTGAGGAACAAACACTCAGACCATAGCAGGAGTGTTCTGGAATCCTGTGTGAGGGAGAAATATTCAGACCACTGCATGAGTGTTCTGGAATTCAATTTGAGGGACAAACATGCAGACCCTCGTAGGAGTGTTCTGAAATCCTATGTGATGAACAAACATTCAGACCACAGCAAGAGTGTTCTGGAATCCTATGCGAGGTACAAACATTCAGACCACAACAGGAGTGTCCTGGAATCCCATGTGAGGTGCAAACATTCAGACCCTCATAGCAGTGTTCTTGAATGCTATGTGAGGGACAAAATTTCACAGCACAGCAGGAGTGTTCTGGAGTCCTATGTGATGGACAAACATTCAGAACACAGCAGGAGTGTTCTGAAATACTATGTGAGGGACAAATATTCAGACCACAGAAGGAGTGTTCTGGAATCCTTTGTGAAGGACAAACGTTCAGACCCTTGTAGCAGTGTTCAGGAATCCTATGTGAGGGACAAACATTGAGACCCCAGTAGGAGTGTTCTGGAGTCCCATGTGAGGGACAAAGATTCAGACTTTCGTAGCAGTGTTTTGAAATCCTATGTGAGGGACAAACGTTCAGACCACAGCAAGGGGGCTCTGGAATCCTATGTGAGGGACAAACATTCAGAACTTCGTAGCCGTGTGCTGGAATTTTATGTGAGGGAGAGATATTTAGACCCTTGGAGCAGTGTTCTGGAATCCCATAGGAGAGACATACATTCAGACCCTCCCAGCAGTGTTCTGGAATTCTATGTGAGGGACAGACATTCAAACCCCAGCAGCAGTGTTCTGGAATGTGATGTGAGGTACAAACATTCAGACACCAGCAGAAGTGTGCTGGAATACTATGTGAGGGAGAAACACTCAGACCCTCGTAGCAGTGTTGTGGAATCCTATGTGAAGGACAAGCATTCATACCCTCGTAGCAGTGTCCTGGAATCATATGTGAGGGATAAACTTTGAGAATCCAGCAGAGGTGTTCTGGAATCCTAGATGTGGGACAAACATTCAGACCCTCATAGCAGTGTTCTGGAATCCTATGCGAGGGAGAAACTTTCAGACCACGGCATGGAAGCAGAGGTGTTCTGGAATCCTAGGTGTGGGACAAACATTCAGACCCTCATAGCAGTGTTCTGGAATGCTATGTGAGGGAGAAACTTTCAGACCACGGCAGCAGTGTTCTGGAATGCTACATGAAGGACAAACATCCTGACCCTCCTAACAGTGTTATGCAATCCTATGTGAGGGACAGACATTTAGACCCTCGCAGCTGTGTTCTGGAGTCCTATGGGAGGGACAAACATTCAGACCCTTGCAGCAGTTTTCTGGAATCCTTTGTGAGGGAGAGACATTCAGACCCTCATAGTGGTGTTCTGGAATCCTGTGTGACAGACAAACATTCAGAACCTGGTATCAGCGTTCTTCCATCCTATATCAGGGACATACATACCCCAGCCACAGTGTTCTGGAATCCTATGTGACAGACAAACATACAAACAACAGCAGGAGTGTTCTGGAATCCTATGTGAGGAACAAACATTTAGACCCTCGTAGCAGTGTTCTGGAATCCTATGTCAGGGACCAACATTCAGACCCTAGAAGCAGTGTTCTGGAGTGTTATGAGACAGAAAAGCATTCAGACCCTCATAGCAGTGTTCTGGAATTCTATGTCAGGGATATTCAGACCACAGCAGAAATGTTCTGGAATCCTATGTGAGGCACAAACCTTCAGACCACAGCAGGCGTTTTCTGGAATCATATGTGAGGGACATTCAGACCATCACAAGAGTGTTCTGGAATCCTATGTGAAGGGCAAACATTCAGACTCCAGCAGCATTGTTCTTCAATGCTATCTGAGGGAGAAACTTTCAGACAACAGCAGGAGTGTTCTGGAGTCCTATGTGAGGGACAAACTTTCAGAACACAGCAGGAGTGTTCTGAAATCCTATGTGAGGGACAAACATTCAGACCACAGCAGGAGTGTTCTGGAATCCGTTGTGAAGGAGAAATATTCAGACCCTTGTAGCAGTTCTCTGGAATCCTATTTGAGGGACAAATATTCAGAACACAGTAGAAGTATTCTGAAATCCTATGTGAGGGACAAACATTCAAACGACAGCAGGAGTGCTCTGGAGTCCTATGTGAGTGTCAAACATTCAGACAACAGCAGGAGTGTTCTGGAATCCTATGTGAAGAACAAGCATTCAGACCCCAGCAGCAGTGTTCTGGAACCCTATGTGAGGGAAAAGCATCCGTATCCTCGTAGGGGTGTTCTAGAATCCTATGTGAGGGAAAAAAAACTCAGAATCCAGGAGCAGTGCTCTGGAATCCTATGTGAGGGACAAACATTCAGTCCACAGCAGCAGTGTTCTGGACTGCTATGTGAGGGGCCAACATTCAGACCATAGCAGGAGAGTTCTGGAGTCCTATGTGAGGGATAAACATTTAGACCACAGCAGGAGTGTAACAGAACCCTACATGAGGGACAAACATTCAGACCACGGCAAGATTGTTCTGGAATGCTCTCTGAGGGCCAAACATTGAGACCTCAGCAGCAGTGTTCTGGAATCCTATGTGATGGACAAACATTCAGCTCACAGCAGGATTGTTCTGAAATCCTATGTGAGGGACAGACATTTGGACCCCATCAGCAGTGTTCTGGAATCCTATTTGAGGGACAAACACTCAGAACCCAGCAGCAGTATTCTGGAATCCTAAGTGAGGGACAAATATTCAGACCCTCTTAGCAGTGTTCTGGAATCCTATGTGAATGACAAACGCTCAGAATCCAGCACCACTGTTCTGAAATCATATGTGAAGGACAAACCTTCAGACCAGAGCAGTAGTGCTGTGGAATTTTATGTTAGAGACAAACATTCAGACTCCAGCAGCAGTGTTCTTGAATGCTATCTGAGGGACAAACATTCTAACCACAGCAGGAGTGCTATGGAGACGTATGTGAGGGACAAAAATTCAGAACACAGCAGGAGTGTTCTGGAATCCTATTTGAGGGAAAATCTTTCATACCCTCATAGCAGTGTTCTGGAATCCTATTTGAGGGAAAAAAAACTCAGAATCTAGGAGCAGTGTTCTGGAATCCTATGTGAGGGAAAAACATTCAGTCCGCAGCAGCAGTCTTCTGGAATGCTATGTGAGGGACAAACATTCAGATCATAGCAGAATTGTTCTGGAATCCTATGGGAGGGACAAATATTCACTCCACAGCAGGAGTGTTCTGGAGTCCTATGTGAGGGACAAACATTCAGACCCTTGTAACCGTGTTCTGGAATTCTATGTGAGGGACATTCAGACCCCAGCAGCAGTGTTCTTGAATGCCATGTGAGGGACAAACACTCAGACTCGAGCAGCAGTTTTCTGGAATCTTATTTCAGGATCAAATATTCGGACCCTCCTAGCAGTGTTCTGGAATCCTATGTGAGGGACAAACCCTCAGAACCCAGCAGCAGTGTTCTGGAATCCTATGTGAGGGAGAAACATTCAGACAACAGCAGGAGTGTTGTGGAATCGTATGTGAGGAACAAGCATTTAGACCACAGTAGGAGTGTTCAGGAATCCTGTGTGAGGGACAAACATTCAGACCCTCATAACAGTGTTCTAGAAGCCCATGTGAGGGACAGACACTCAACCTAGCAGCAGTGTTCTGGAATCCTATGTGAGGGACAAACATTCAGACCACAGCAGGAGTGTTCTGGAAACCTGTGTGAGGGACAAACATTCAGACCACAGCAGGAGTGTTCTCCAATCCTATTTGACGGACATTCACACCCCAGCAGCAGTGTTCTGGAATCCTATGTGAGGGACAAACCTTCAGACCCCAACAGCAGTGTTCTGAAATCCTATGTGAGGGACAAACATTCAGAGCATTGTAGCCATGTTCTGGAACCCTATGTGAGGGACCAACACTGAGATCCCAACAGCAGTGTTCTGGAATCCTATGTGAGGGGCAAGCATTCAGACCACAGCAGGAGTGTTGTGTTATCCTATGTGAGGGACAAACATTCAGACCACAGCAGGAGTGTTCTGGAATCCTTTGTGTAGGACGAACATTCAGACCCTTGTAGCAGTGTTCTGTAATCCTATGTGAGGGACAAACATTCAGACCCTCGTAGCAGTGTTCTGGAATCCTATGTGAGGGACAAGGATTCAGACAAGGACAAGGATTCTCTTGATTGGAATAGTTTCAGAAGGAATAGTACCAGCTCATCCTTGTACCTTTGGTAGAATTCGGCTGTGGATTACGTCTTGTCCTGGACTTTTTATGGTTAGTATGCTATTATTGTCTCAATTTCAGAGCCTGTTATTTGTCTATTAAGAGATTCAACTTCTTCCTGGTTTAGTCTTGGGAGGGCTTATGTGTTGAGGAATTTATCCATTTCTTCTAGATTTTCTAGTTTATTTGCATAGAGGTGTTTACAGTATTCTCTGATGGTAGTTTGTATTTCTGTGGGATCAGTGGTGTTATCCCCTTTATCATTTTTTATTGCATCTATTTGATTCTTCTCTCTTTTCTTCTTTATTAGTCTTGCTAGCGGTCTGTCAATTTTGTTGATCTTTTTAAAAAACCAGCCCCTGAATTCATTGATTTTTTGAAGGGATTTTTGTGTCTCTATCTCCTTCAATTGTGCTCTGATCTTAGTTATTTCTTGGAAGTCAAATTGTCCCTGTTTGCAGATGACATGTTTGTGTATCTAGAAAACGCCATCATCTCAGCCCAAAATCTCCTTAAGCTGGTAAGCAACTTCAGTGAGGTCTCAGGATACAAAATCCATGTGCAAATATCACAAGCATTCTTATACAGCAATAACAGGCAAACAGAGAGCCAAATCATGAGTGAATTCCCATTCACAATTGTTTCAAAGAGAATAAATTACCTAGGAATCCAACTTACAAGGGATGTGAAGGACCTCTTCAAGGAGAACTATGAACCACTGCTCAACAAAATAAAAGAGGACACAAATCAATGGAAGAACATTCCATGCTCATGGGTAGGAAGAATCAATATCGTGAAAATGGCCATTCTGCCCAAGGTAATTTATAGATTCAATACCATCCCCATCAAGCTAACAATGATTTTCTTCACAGAATTGGAAAAAACTAAAGTTCATATGGAACCAAAAAAGAGCCCACATGGCCAAGTCAATCCTAAGCTAAAAGAACAAAGCTGGAGGCATCACGCTACCTGACTTCAAACTGTACTACAAGGCTACAATAACCAAAGCAGCATGGTACTGGTGCCAAAGCAGATATATAGATCAATGGAACAGAACAGAGCCCTCAGAAATAATACCACACATCTACAACTATCTGATCTTTGACAAACCTGACAAAAGAAATCGGGAAAGGATTCCCTATTTAACAAATTGTGCTGGGAAAACTGGCTGGCCATATGTAGAAAGCTGAAACTGGATCCCTTCCTTTCAACTTATACAAAAATTAATTCAAGACGTATTAAAGATTTAAATGTTAGACCTAAAACCATGAAAACCCTAGAAGAAAACCTAGGCAATACCATTCAGGACATAGGCATGGGCAAAGACTTCATGTCTTAAACATCAAAAGCAATGCCAACAAAAGCCAAAATTGACAAATGGGATATAATTAAACTAAAGAGCTTCTGTGAAGCAAAAGACATACCAGTGAACAGGCAACCTACAGAATGGGAGAAAATTTTTGCAGTCATCTGACAAAGGGATAATATCCAAAATCTACAATTAACTCAAACAAATGTACAAGAAAAAACCCCATCAACAAGTGGGCGAAGGATATGAACAGACACTTCTCAAAAGAAGACATTTATGCAGCCAACAGACACATGAAAAATGGTCATCGTCACTCGCCATCAGAAAAATGCAAATCAAAATCACAATGAGATATCATCTCACACTAGTTAGAATGGCGATCATTTAAAAGTCAGGAAACAACAGATGCTAGAGAGTATATGGAGAAACAGGAACACTTTTACACTGTTAGTGGGATTGTAAAGTAGTTCAACGATTGTGGAAGACAGTGTGGTGATTCCTCAGGGATCTAGAACTAGAAATACCATTTGACCCAGGCTTCCAATTACTGGATATATACCCAATGGAATATAAGTCATGCTGCTATAAAGACACATGCATACGTATGTTTATTGCGACGCTACTCACAATAGCAAAGACTTGGAACCAACCGAAATGTCCAAATGTCCAACAACGATAGACTGGATTAAGAAAATGTGGCACATATACGCCATGGAATACTATGCAACCATAAAAAATGATGAGTTCATGTCCTTTGTAGGGACATGGATGAAGCTGGAAATCATCATTCTCAGCAAACTATCACGAGGACAAAAAAACCAAACACCACATGTTCTCACTCATAGGTGGGAATTGAACAATGAGAACACGTAGACACAGGAAGGGGAACATCACACACCATGGCCTGTTGTGGGGTGGGGGGAGGGGGGATAGCATTAGGAGATATACCTTATGTAAATGACGAGTTACTGAGTGCAGCACACCAACATGGCACATGTATGCAAACATAACAAACCTGCACGTTGTGCACATGTATCCAAGAACTTAAAGTATAATAAAAAATATGTATATAAATAATTCAATACAGAAATATAATTAAAAAAGAAAGAAAATGTGGTATACTATTTGGCAGTAAAAAAAGAAAACCCTGTCATTTGTAAACAACATGGATGAACCTGGAGGACAATAGGTTAAGTGAAATAGGTCAGGCACAAAAAGACAAATATATCATGACATGTCTCCTACTGGTATGTTAAAAAGTTGATCTCATAGAATTACAAAGTACAATGGTGGGTATCAGAGCTAGGGGTAAAGGGGAGTTGCCGTGATGTTAATCAGAGGATATATACTTAGAGCTAGACAGAAGGAATACATTTCAGGAGATGTGCTGTAGAGCAAGGTGATTGTAATTGATGATGACATATTGTATTCTTGAGAAATAGAAAGTTAATGTTATGTGTATTCACCACAAAGATGATAACTATGTGAGTTGATGTATTTGTTAATTAGCTAGATTTGACCTTTTCACAATGTATGCATACTTTGTCCCTCACATAGGATTCCAGAACGCTACTGCATTGGTCTGAATGTTTGTCCATCACATTTTACATTACAAAAAACTTGCAATGTCATATGTCAATTAAAAATAAATATTAATAAAGTAATTTTAAAAAGACAAAAAGTAAAAGAAAAAAAACACACCACAGCAGCAGTGTTCTGGAATCCTGTGTGAGGGACAAACATTCAGATGCCAGCAGCAGTGTTCTGGGATCCCATGTGATGGGCAAACATTCAGACATTCCCAGCAGTGTTCTGGAATCCTATGTGTGGGACAAACACTCAGACCCCAGCAGCAGTGTTCTGGAATCCTATGTGAGGTACAAACATTCAGACCCTGGAATCAGTGTTCTGGAATCCTATGTGAGGGACAAATATTCAGATCATTGCATTAGTGTTCTGGAATCCTATGTGAGGGAAAAACTTTCAGACCACAGCAGCCATGTTCTGGAGTCCTATGTGACAGACATTCAGACCCTCGTAGCAGTGTTCTGGAATCTTATGTGAGGGACACGCATTCAGACCACAGCAGGAGGGTTCTGGAATCCTATGTGAGGGACAAATATTCAGACCCTCATAGCAGTGTTCTGGAGTCTTATGTGAGGGACAAACATTCAGACCCCGGCAGCAGTGTTCTGGAATCCTATGTGAGGGACAAACATTCAGACCCCAGCAGCAGTGTTCTAGAATCCTATGTAATGGACAAACATTCAGAACCTCGTAGCAGTGTTCTGGAATCCTATGTGAAGGACAGACATTTAGACCCTCGCAGCAATGTTCTGGAATCCTATGTGAGGGAGAAACATTCAGACCCTCGCAGCAGTGTTCTGGAATCCTATGTGAGGGACAAACATTCAGACCCCAGCAGCAGTGTTCTGGAATCCTATGTGAGGGACAAACATTCAGACCACGGCAGCAGTGTTCTGGAGTCCTATGTAATGGACAAATATTCAGAACCTCGTAGCAGTGATCTGGAATCCTATGTGAGGGACAAACTTTCTGACCCCAGCAGCAGTGTTCTGGAATCCTATGTGAGGGACAAACTTTCTGACCCTCGTATGTGTTCTAGTATTCTATGTGAGGGACAGACATTCAGATCCCAGCATCAGTGTTCTGGAATCCTGTGTGAGGGACAAACATTCAGACCCCAGGAGCAGCGTTCTGAAATCCTAAGTTAAGGGTAAACATTCAGACCCCAGCATCAATGTTCTGGAATCCTTTGTGAGGGACAAACATTCAGACCCTCGTAGCAGTGTTCTGGAATACTGTGTAAGGGACAAACATTCAGACCCCAGGAGCAGCGTTCTGAAATCCTAAGTTAAGGGTAAACATTCAGACCCCAGCATCAATGTTCTGGAATCCTTTGTGAGGGACAAACATTCAGACCCTCGTAGCAGTGTTCTGGAATACTGTGTAAGGGACAAACATTCAGACCTCAGGAGCAGCGTTTTGGTATCGTATGTGAGGGACAAACACGCAGACCCCAGCTGCCATGTTCTGGAATGCTATGATTGGGTTTATACTGTGAACCTCAGAAGTGTTCCTCTGTTTAATTAATTTTCTGCCTTAGGTGGAACATGACTAGAATGGGCTACAGTGGAAGGGGTAATTCCCTTCCCCTAGGTTATTTAGTCTCTGATTATACTAGAGCAGATTAGGCTGAAGTTAAGTAGTTTCTCCTGTGGACAAGCCTTGTTAAGAACCAGGTACTCTGGCACATTTCAAACTGGTTTTCCTTTTTCCTTCCCAAAGGTAGAAGCAGGAGGGGAGTTTTCTCAGGTATTTGTCACAGGAGCCTGGTGAAGCCCCATGAGACAATTTTACAGTATTGTTCCCCCTCCCCCCACAATAACTCTATCTCTTTGTAGTTTTTACCACTTAGAGTTGTCCACGCGGATCCTCCAGCCGTTCACCAGTTACGGTTTGAGTTTTTCTACTCCAGCACTGGTTCCAAGGTTGGTTTCAGTAGTGAGTCCATGTTCCTGTAAGCCATTAAGTCCTATATTCATTTCTCTGTCTCTGCAATCCTGGGGGAAGTGGTTTGCCCTGTGTCCTCCCCTGAGATTCAAATCTAGAAACAATTGTGGATTTTTTAGTCTCTTCAGCTTTTTATTTGTTGTTAAGATTAATTGTGTCATATTAATTTGTTGTTAAGCTTGTTATAAAAATTAATTATTGTAAAGTAATTATTGATTACCTCCAAGCTTCTTACATGCAGAAATAGGAACCTGGAATGTGTTTCTAAAACTATCTTCTCAATGCCTATGTGCACAGTTAAAGGATTTTTTTCCACAGGAATATGGTCATGATGAATTATATTAGACTTCTTAATATTGAACTTTTCTTTATTCGTGGAATAAACTCAGAAAGTTCCTTCTTGGTCTTCACAGTCTATTTCTCTTCCTCTGTAAATGTTAGTGTTTCTGTAGATTCTGTACTTGTTTCTTTTATTCTTTCCTTCTCTTATTTTCATTTGGTCTCATGGATTCAGGTACCATTGAAATTCTGGTAATTTCCAAATCTTTATCTTTAGTTTTGATCTCTCTTCTGAACCACTGGAGCCATATTCCCAATTGCCAGTTGAACATTCCCACATATGGAACCTCAGATGCTTCACACATGATATGTCCAGGTTTGTGTCACTTCTGGTTATCATATTCTTTTATTTCTTTGCAAATTTCACTTCACAACACAAGTACCAAACTAGCTGGATCAGGGCAGATAACTTGGAAACAAAACTCCCCTTTTTACCCACTGCACAGCAAATTGGACCAAATCCTGTTTCTACATTTTTTTCCTTTTAAGAACTGCTTCCCTATTGTGTATTCTTACACTCCGTGTCCTGATGTACTGATGTAGGTGGTCATCTGTCTTCCTCTTTACTCCCTTCTGGCTTTCCCTTAAGCCCTTTCCCATTCTCTTTCTCAGGGATGGCTGTTAAAATGCCAATATGGTCATGTAACTTTTCTGTCCTTACTGGACCTCCTTATTTACACCTGCTTGTGAAGTGGCTGTGTTCACCCTGGGTGGATACAGCAATTTTTTGTCCTGTAGGAAGGAAATTTTGAAATGCCAGTGTATATGATTTTAATTAAGTATACTCACCCTTTTGTATCCATGGGTTTTGCATCTGCGGATTCAGCCAACTTCAGATTGAAAATATTCCCACAAAAATAGATGGTTGTCTCTGTGCAGAGCATCTACAGAAATTTTTCTTGTCATTATTTCCTAAACAGTGAAATATAACACCCATTTATGTAGCATTACATTGTCTTCAGTATTATATGTAATCTAAAGATTTAAAGTTCAGTCGTGCATGGCTTACTGATGGGATTACTTTCTGAGAAATGCATCTTTAGGTAATTTCATTGTTTTGTGAACATCATAGTGTTACAAAAACCTACATGGTATGTATATTTTTATTTATATGTTTTTGGAATATGGGTAACCAGATGGCTCAGAGCCATTATTGAATATCATTTTCTGCACTTCATCTGCAATGCCAATATCAGGTTTCTGTGTATGTTTCATCATCATCTTATGGGACTATTTTGATATACATGTTTCATCATTGGCTGAAATGTTATTATGCAGCTCATGACTGTATACAGGATGATGTACATAAGTTATATGTAAATATGAGACTTGTTTATATAAGAGAGTTATCCAATCTGTGGATTTTGGTATCTGGGTCTATCTTGGAATCAGTCCCCTTGGATACTGAGGAAGTAATGTAATGTAAAAATGATAGGTGCATAAAAATTTTTGAAATTAGGTCAAATATTTAAATGCAGAATCACTGCATAATCAATTCCTTAAATATTGCATTTAGCTTTCATCACTGACCAGGATCATTCATCTAGGCATGGTGCTGTCCAGAGTTCCATTAAAGTAGTGTGTGTTCTCTTTGCCTTTGTCAGTAGACTTCTGATACTTTCTCATAGTCATGAGAATTCATGGTTCATGTGGAAGAGCCAAACACCTGATTTTTCAGTAAAGTGGAACCTCATGATGCAAAAGAAACAAAATTTATTTTCTCCTTCTCTCTTATCTTAGTCTGCATTGAACTTGTGTCTCAATGAGTTCACCTAAACATTATTCCCAGTATGTGTTTATACTTATATATTCATAACCAAATCATGAGCTCCTTTGAGGAGTAGAATTTTATTCCTCTTTTTTTTTTTGAGAGATAGGCTCTCTGTTGGCCAGGCTGGAGTGCAGTGGTGTGATCATCACTCACTGCACTGTCAAACTCCTGGGCTTGAGCAATCCTTCAGCCTCAGCTTACAGAGTAGCCAGGACTACAGGCATCCAGCATTATGCCTATTTTTTTTTCTTACTTTTGAAGAGAGAGGGTCTTGCATTTTGTTTATACTTTTATCCCTAGCAACAAGGGTGGTTCTAGATCTATAAGGTGAACTTTGTAATACAATTTTATTAATTCATAAGTTATTACAGTGGAAGCATATTTCTACTGTGATTACTCCTTCTCCCACCATAAACAGTACAAAACAAACTACGTCTTATCTAAAATACATATAAGACACATGGACACACAAAAGAGTGAATTCCCAGATTCTTGTTTTTTGACCCTGGGCTGATGCTTTGACTTGAGGAAATATGTGCCATTACAGGGGTTGGTGTCCTTTGAAGATGTGGCTCTGCACTTTACCTGGGAGGAGTGTCAGGACCTGGATGATGTTCAGAGGACCCTGTACAGGGACGTGATGGTGGAGACTGGTATCATTGGGTGAGTGAAACTTCCCAGTAACTCCCAGGAATGTGTTTTGTTGTTGGTAAATATAGAAACCCTTTTAAGGTATAATAATATTTACTTGTAGGATTCTGGTTGATGAAAAATGTGTCATTACTCTGTAATGAAATGTTCAAATTGGCTCCTTCATTACACAGTCCCTGAAGCCCAGCTCTTGTCATTCTGAAAAGGATTTGACTTAGTGATTTGACAAAGTATTCCATTGTTTCTCATTACCAGGGCATTGCATTACCAAACCTGAGATGATCTTCAAGCTAGAACAAGGAGCAGAGCCATGGATAGTAGAAGAAACCCCAAACCTGAGACTTTCAGGTCAGTCAGTGAATACTGGGGAGGGAGGCCTGGAGGAGTAATGCCCAGCAGATTTTGGTAGTGTTATCTTGTTTTCACCACTTTTTTCCCTAGGTCTTCGACCTGAAGACTGTTGGTCTGTATTAAATATCCATTATATAGTCCCCAGGGGTAACTCTCATGCATATATCCCAGTCTCTTATTTTTCTGAGTATCTTCTTCTATTTACCTCAAATCCAATCCCTGCCATCCTCTCTTTAGGCCTTTTTCTTTGCTATTTATTTTCTCTATTTCCCCCTTTTCCTCTATTCTGATGTAGTGTCTTAAAAAATTTTTTAGACATTCATGCATTTATTTATCCTTTGAATGTATCTTAGGCGATTTTTGAGAATCAGTCATTATAACAATGATGATGAAAATAGTGTTTCTTTTTAAGCTGTAGCTTTATTCTTCTTGTTTTATTTTTTATTAAACAGATGGTTCTCACTCTGTTTCTCAGACTCAAGTGCAGTGGCATGATTATAGTTCACTGTAACGATGAACTCCTGGGATCAAGTGTTCCTCACAGCCTAGCCTCCCAAGTAGGTAGGACTACAGGTGTGTGCCACCACACCTGGCTAATTTTTTATTGTTTGTGGAGATGAGGTCTTGTTCTATTGCCCAGGCTGG
The DNA here is from genome assembly GCF_000001405.40 of Homo sapiens. Taxonomy (NCBI): domain Eukaryota; kingdom Metazoa; phylum Chordata; class Mammalia; order Primates; family Hominidae; genus Homo; species Homo sapiens. The sequence goes on from NT_167218.1 coordinate 52,133, forward strand.
TCTCAAACTTCTGGCCTTAAATGATCCTTGTAGACTCCCACCCACACACACAAAAAAAATAGTAGCTGAGTATGGTGACATGGGTTTGTAATCCCAGTTTTTATACTTGGGAGGTTGAGGTGGAAGGATTGCTTGAGCTCAGGAGTTTGAAGCTTCAGTGAGCTATGATAGCAACACTGCACTCCAGCCTGGGTAACAGAGTAAGATCCTGTCTCAGAAAGAAATTATGAAACTGAGGAGAACCCATCATAGGGGCCTGGATAGGGGTGGTGCTGGACTTGGGAGGATAACCAGAAGATTCTCGGTCTCAAGTCCAAAGAAACCAATGATTTCCTGTTGAAGGGCTCAGATTTCTGTTTGAGAGTGGAGTTTGTAGTTATCATTTGAAGATGAGAAATGTACAGGAAACTTCATTTTTATATATAACTGTGTGACATCTGAAACTCCAAAACACAAAATAAAACCCTTCAAAAATGGTGAATTATCAAGCAGGGGTGTGTGAGTGGAGAGGGACAGAGCTGTTGATCTCAGAAGGAACCAGAAATACACTTTTCAAAGATGACGAGCACAGCCTGAGTTGCAGAACCAATCCTTCAGATCACCAGTATGGTTTTTTGACTGGAGGTTCTTTGCCTATTATGGTTCTGGGAAGCAGGAGATGTCATGTTTAAGTAGGAATTTGCCAGGATCTGTTTTTGTTTAACATGGGGAATAAGAGATTTTCTGCTTGGAAAACCTCCAGACACATTTAACCATTCTCAGGGAGGAGTGAAAAGTTAACATATAGGCAAAATCCTGTCTACAAGCTACTTCCATGCTTAGGAGACAGAAAAATGGCCATCTCCTGTACCTGCCAGTTGCTGACCCAAGAAAAACTGGCTATTTTCAAGGAATAATGATGAAAAAATAGCAACTACTAAAACAGCCACTATTGTTATATGAATAAATAGAAAAAAAAGAGAGAAAACAAATGACGGATAATGAGCACTTATTAAAACCTATGAGTAGGAAGTAGATGCATATTATTACCAAATAATTCTTTGTGAAATAAAAAAGAAAAGGAAAACTTCAAAATGCAAAGAAAAACTCAATTGAACATTAGAAAATATACTGATTTATTACATGATGTCAGAAGGAACAGGAACCATATGCATATAAAACCAATACCCATTATTAATTTTTATCAAATCTTACTCCACTGGGATAGGAAGTAATTTTTTTCACCTTTACACAAGCATTCTTTAAGACATGCTCCTGTGTGGTTCATGGATACGTTTTTCTCATTTCAGCTGTCCAGATCATTGATGACCTTATTGAAAGGAGCCATGAAAGTCATGATAGATTTTTCTGGAAAATTGTAATCACCAACAGCAACACATCAACTCAGGAGAGAGTTGAATTAGGAAAAACATTTAATTTGAACTCAAACCATGTTTTAAATCTGATTATAAATAATGGAAACAGTTCAGAAATGAAGCCTGGGCAGTTTAATGTCTGCCAGAACGTGCTTTTCCCTATTAAGCCTGGTGAGACACAGTCTGGAGAGAAACCTCATGTCCTTGATATAACCAGGAGATCCCACAGACGTCATGAACATCTTACTCAGCATCACAAGATTCAAACTCTGCTGCAGGCCTTTTCAATGTAATGAACAAGTGAAAACCTTCAACATGGAGGCAATGTTCTTTATACATAAGAGGGTTCATATAGGACAGACCGTTGGTAAATATAATGAATATGAGAAAGCCTGTAATAACTGAGCTATTATTGTCCAAGGGATAACTCAGGTAGGACAGCCAACTTGCTGTAGAAAGTCTGACTTCACCAAACATCAGCAAACACACACAGGAGAGAAACCCCATGAATGTGTTGAATGTGAGAAACCCTCCGTTAGCAAATCAGACCTTATGATACAGCACAAGATGCCTACTGAGGAAAAACCTTATGCCTGTAACTGGTGTGAAAAATTGTTCAGCTGTAAGTCTGGCCTCACTATCCATCAGAGAATTCACACAGGGGAAAAGCCCTATGGATGCAATGAATGTGGAAAAACCGTTTGCCATAAGTCATTCCTTACTTTACATCAGAGAACTCATACTGGGGAAAAACCATATGCATGTAACAAATGTGGAAAAACGTATAGCCACAAGTCATACCTTACAGTACATCACAGAACTCACACGGGAAAAACCCTATGAATGTAATGAATGTGGAAAATCCTTTTACTGTAAGTCATAAGTCATTTCTAACTATACGTCAGAGAACTCATGCTGGCAAAAAACCCTATGAATGTAATAAATGTGAGAAAACCTTTATCAATAAATTAAACCTTGGGATACACAAGAGAACTCACACAGGGGAAAGACCCTATGAATGTAATGAATGTGGAAAAACCTTTCGTCAGAAGTCAAATCTCAGCACCCATCAGGGAACACACACAGGGGAGAAACCTTACATATGAAATGAATGTGGAAAAACCTTTCATTGCAAGTCATTCCTCACCATACACCAGAGTACTCACACGGGGAGAAACCGTATGGATGTAACGAAAGTGGAAAAACTTTTTGTCAGAAATCATACCTTATTATACATCAGAGAACTCACACTGGGGAAAAGCTCTATGAATGTAATGAATGTGGAAAATCCTTTCATCAGAAGGCAAATATTCAGAAGCATCAAGGTATTCACACGGGGGAGAAACCCTATGAATGTAGCAAATGTGGAAAAACCTTCAGTCAGAAGTCAGTCCTCACTGTACATCATAGAACTCAGACTGGAGAAAAACCTTTCGAATGTAATCAGTGTGGGAAAACTTTTTGTTACAAGTCAAACCTCAATATGCATCAGGGAATTCACTCAGGAGAGAAACCCTGTGAATGTGATGAATGTAGGAAAACTTTTTACCATAAGGCAGTTCTCACCATACATCAGAGAACTCACACAGGTGAGAAGCCATTTGAATGTAAGAAAACCTTCTCTCAGAAGTCAAAACTCTTTGTACAGCACAGAACTCACACAGGGGAATAACACTTTAGTTATAATGAATGTAGGAAAACTTTCTCCCAGAAGCCAGGCCTCAGTATACATCAGAGAACACACACAGGAGAAAAACCTTATAAATGTAAGGAATGTGGGAAAACCTTTTGCCGGAAGTCACACCTCAGCAGGCATCAACAAACCCATATAGGAGAGAAATCTGATATAGCTGATGCAGGCTATGTATTCCCTCAAAATCACTTTTTTTTCCCTTGAACACACAACCTACACCTCTCCAGCTACTACTATAGATTTCTCCATGCTCAGTCTAGGAGAATATGGACACAAATGGTGACCATTACCTCCTGACCTACCAACAAGAAGGTTATAACCATGCTGTAACAGAAGTGCTATCATGCAGGCTTTCTTGTTCCCATTTTTACAGCACACTTCACACTTTAATGTCACAGATATGGCTGTTTTCCTAGAAGCTCATGTACCAACCTCTGCCAGCTTCAAACATTTCTTCTGCAACTTTCTCACCTCTCTTCTCCTCCATAGAATTGAAGAGAGTTAGGGCCTTTCTCAGGATTAGGCTTTGTCTCAAGGGAATTTTGGGGCTGGTTTGATCTTCTATGCAGACCACTCAGACTTTCTCTGTGTCAGTAAAAAATCTGGTTTTTTTTTAAATCATTCATGTGTTCACTGGAGTAGCACCTATAACTTCCTTCAAGAACTTTTTGTTTCCATTCACAACTTGGGTAGCTCATGCAAAAAGCTTATCTTTGGCCTGTCTTAGCTTCTAACATGCTTTCTTCACTAAGCTTGATGATTTCTACCTCTTGATTTGAAGTGACAGATGTGAACACTTCTTTTCACTTGAATACATAGTGGCCACTGCAGACTGGAGGGGCCTAATTTCATTGTTGTATCTTGGGGAACGGGGGGCTGGAAGAGAGAAATGGAGATAGGGAAATGACTAGCCAATGAAACAGTCAAACACAACACTTTTCCATCGTTTTTACTGTCTTCCATAGATTTCCACCACTCTGAGACAATTCCAATAGTAACATCAGAAATCACTGATCACAGATCATCATAACAGATGTGATAACTAAAATCTTTGAAAGATTGTGGGGATTGCCAAAACATGTGACACAGATGTGAAGTGAGCACACGGTGTGGAAAAATGGTGCTGATCAGACTTACTGAGCACTTTGTGGCCACAAATCTTTAATTTGTTAAAAAGGTGATGTTTCCAAGCTAAATAAAGTGAAGCTCGATAAAGTGAGGTGTGCCTCTATTTTGATGAGCTCTAGCAATTTGTCTTTTCACTGGTGCATTTAGACCATGACATTCAAAGTGATTATACAGTTGGGTTAATTTTGCCATATCATTTTCCATTCACTCCTATTGTTCTTTGTTCTTGGTTTGTCCTCCACTCTTTTTCTGCCTTTTATGGAGTTGATGATTTTATATGATTTTTGTTTCCTCTCATTGCTTTTTATTTTTTAATTGAGACAGCAGTCACCCAGGCTGGAGTGCAGTGGTGTGATCATGGCTCCCTGCAGCCTCAACCTCGTGGGTTCAAGTGATATTTCCACCTCAGCCTCCCAACTAGCTAGGACTACAAGTAAGTCATTAGCTAGGACTACAAGTATGCAATTAGCTAGAACTACAAGTATGCAATTAGCTAGGACTACAAGTATGCAATTAGCTAGGACTACCAGTACGCAATTAGCTAGGACTACAAGTATGCAATTAGCTAGGACTACAAGTATGCACCACAATACCTGGCCTTTTCTTTTTTGTAGGGACGGGGTCTCACTGTGTTGCTCAGGATAGTCTCTAACTCCTGGACTCAAGCCATCTTTCTACCTTGGCATGAGCCACTATACCTGGCCTGTTTTCTCTTTTTAGTATTTTTATACTTTGGTTTTTACTAGTTGCCCTGGAGTTTGCAGTATAGACTTGCAACAAATCCAAGTCCACCTTCAAATAACACTATACCAGTTCAGTTACTTTGACTGCCTTCTAAAAGAAATGTAATAGCTGTTTCTCTCATATTCCCATCTCTTGTGTTATTGTTGCCATTTGTTTCACTTATATGTAAGCATACATAGCCTTGTATATATTAAAGCATGTAATTGGCTGGGTGCCTTGGCTCATGCCTGTAATCCCAACACTTTGGGAGGCTGAGGCAGGTGGACTATGAGGTCAGAAGATAGAGACTCTCCTTGCTAACACAGTGAAACCCCATCTCTACTAAAATTACAAAAAATTAGCTGGACATGGTGGCACACGCATGTAGTCCCAGCTATTCAGGAGGCTGAGACAGGAGAATTTCTTGAACCAGAGAGGAGGTGGAGGTTGCAGTGGGCTGAGATTGCACCACTGCACTCCAGCCTGGGCGACAGAGCAAGACTCCATCTCAAAAAAAAAAAAAAGTATATAATTGCATACATTGTTATTATATACAAACTGTTATATGTTAGGTGAATTAAGAATAAAAAGTAAGCAGGTGGATACGGTGGCTCATGCCTGTAATCCCAGCACTTTGGGAGGCCAAGGAGGGCAGATCACAAGGTCAGGAGATGAAGACCATCCTAGCTAACATGGTGAAATCCTGTCTCTAATAAAAATACGAAAACAAAATTAGCCAGGCGTGGTGGTGGGTGCCTGTAGTCCCAGCTACTCGGGAGGCTGAGGCAGGAGAATGGCATGAACCTAGAAGGCAGAGCTTGCAGTGAGCCAAGATCACACTACTGCACTCCAGCCTGGGTGACAGAATGAGACTCCATCTCAAAAAAAAAAAAAAAAAAAAAAAAAAAAGGATTTTACCACCACTTATTCCTTCTCTAATGTTCTTTTTAAAATGTAGATTCAGGTGGGTGTAGTGGCTCACACCTGTAATCCCAGCACTTTGGGATGTTGAGATGGGTGGATCACGAGCTTAGGAGTTCAAGACCAGCCTGGCAAAGATGGTGAAACACTGTCTCTAATAAAAATACAAAAAAATTAGCCAGGCGTGGGGGAGGGCTCCTGTAATCCCAGCTACTTAGGAGGCGGAGGCAGAGAATTGCTTGAACCTCGGAGGCAGAGATTTCAGTGAGCCGAGATTGTGCCACTGTGCTCCAGCCTGGACAACACAGTGAAACTCAGTCTCAAAATAAATAAATAAAAGTAAATAAAGTGTAGATTCAGTTTTCAGATGCGTATCTTTTTTTTGTCTAGATAATGTTTAACATATTCTCACATGACACATTTGCTGATAACAAGTTTCCTCAATTATTGTTTGTCCAAGGAATGTTTTATTTCTCATTTACTTTTGAAAGAAGATCTCACAGGGCACTTAAATCTAAGTTCATTTTTTTTTCTCTCAGCATGCTTAATATTTCATTCCACTCTCTTTTTACTTTCATGGTTCTGAGATGTTGAATGCAATGCTTTTTTTATTTTTTTTTTTTTGAGACAGAGTCTTGCTCTGTCACCCAGGCTGGAGTGCAGTGGTGTAATCTCAGCTCACTGCAAGCTCTGCCTCCCGGATTCACACCATTCTCCTGCCTCAGCCTCTGGAGTAGTTAGGACTACAGGCTTCTGCCACCATGCCTGGCTAATTTTTTGTATTTTTAGTGGAGACGGGGTTTCACCATGTTAGCCAGGATGGTCTCGATCTCCTGACCTTGTGATCCACCCACCTTGGCCTCCCACAGTACTGGGATTAGAGGCATGAGCCACCAAGCCCGGCCTGAATGTGATTTTTGTTTGTCTGTAGGTTTCTTTGTTTCTCTTTCTTTGTTTCTTTGTTTCTCTATAGGTAGGATGTTGTCCACTCCACCTTTGCTCTGTTGGAGCTGCTGTTTTGTACAGTTGGAGAATAACATGCCTAGCTGTAGGTTTTTAGCATGTGTCCTGTCTGGTGCACTCTGAGCTTCCGATCTTTGATTTTGTGTCTGACATTAACAGTGGAAGTTGTCAGACATGACTGTTGCAGATGTTTCTTCTACTTCTCTCTCTTCTCCTTCTAGTATTCTCATCACTCTATGTTACACCTTTTCTAGCTGTCCTACAGTTCTTGGATATTATGTTCCATTGTTTTCAGTTTTTAAAGTTTCTTTCAATGTTTCCAGAGCTCAGAGACTCTTTCCTTTGTTGTGTTCAGTCTACTAGTAAGCCAATCAAAGACATTCTTCAGGTCTGTTGCAGTATTTTTTTATCTCTACTGTTTCTTTTTTGTTCTTTCCTTGGACTTCTGTCTCTCTGCTTACATTGCCTATCTGTTCTTGAATGCTGTCTCCTTTGTTCATCAGAGCCCTTAGCATACTACTCAGAGATATTTTTAAAAATCCCTGTCTGATAATTCCAGCATCATAGCTGTGTCTTGTTCTGATGATCTGTCACTTCAAATTGTGTTTTTTGCCTTTTAGTATGCCTTGTGCTTTTTCTTTATTCCTAGATATGGGATACCAGGTAAAAGGAACTACTGTAACAGTGCATCCTGTAATGATGGGAAGCTCTGGAGGGGAGGGGAAGCTGTCTTAGTCCATCCACCAGCATAACTTAGAGCAAGTAATTTGTAAACAACAGAAATTTGTTGTTCAGTTTGGAGGCTATAAAGTCCAAAGTCAAGGTTCCAAGAGATTCAGTGTTTGATGAGACCCATTCCTCATAGATGGTGCAAGCTATATGTCCTCTCATGTTGGAATGGACAAAGAAGCTTCCTTTGGCCTCTTTCATAAGTGCACTAATCCCAATCAGGATGACTTTGCCATTACCTTTCAAAGGCCCCACCCCTTAATTCTAGTGCATTGGAGACTTGGTTTCAACAGGCACATTTTGCAGGGTGTCGAGCAGGGAACAAATGTTCAGACCATAGCAGAAGTGTTCTGGACTCTTACGATTGGGCCTCATTGTTTAAGTGAGTCTCTGCTTTTGGACTATGAACTTCACATGTCTTTCTCTGTTTTTGTCTTCCCCTTTAGGGATGACTGGAGTAGGCTGGAGTTGGGTACTTCCCTTCCAGAAGGTCATTTAGGATCTGATTATATGAGAGCAAGTTAGGCTGAGGTTCAGTAATTTCTCCTGAGGACAAGTCTTGTTAAGAACAGGGTGCTCTGGCATATTTTAAGATGGTTTTCCTTTTTCCTTCCCAAAGTTGGAAGCAGGAAGCCAGTTTTCTCAGGTATTTGCCACAGGAGCCTGGTGAAGCTCCAGGAGGTAAATTTTACAATATTATGCTCCTTCATAACTGGATATCCCTGGCGTTTTTACCTCCTTGAGTTCTCCATAATGGAACCTTCAGCAATTCACCAGTTATAGTTCAAGATTTTCTACTCCAGCACTGGTTCCTAAGGTGGTTTCAGTAGTGAGTCTCTGTTCATGTAAGCCATAAATTCCTATATTCACTTCTCTATCTCTCCAATCTTGGGGGCAGTGGCTTGCCCTATGTCCTCTCTTCACATTCAAATCCAAAAAGGATTGTAGATTTTTCAGTCTCTTCAGCTTTTATTTGTTTTATTAAAAAAATTTTTTAAGAGTTGGGGGTCTCACTATGTTGCCCAGGCTGGTCTCAAACTCCTAGACTCAAGGGATCCTCCTGCTTTGGCCTCCCAAAGTGCTAGGATTATAGGCATGAGCCACCACACCTGATCTTTTCAGCTTTTCATGTGTTGTTAAGATGGACTGATTACTTGCATTCTTTTTTTTTTTTCCTTTTTTTGAGATGGAGTCTCACTTTGTTGCTCAGGCTGGAGTGCAGTGGTGCAATCTCAACTCACTGCAATATCTGGCTCCCAGGTTCAAGTGATTCTCCCTGCCTCAGCCTCCTGAGTATCTGGGATTACAGGCACCCACCACCATGCTGGCTAACTTTTATATTATTATTATTTTATTTTTTAATTTTTTGAGGCAGAGCTCACTCTGTCATCCAGGCTGTAGTGCAGTGGCTTGATCTTGGCTCACTGCAACCTCCAACTCCCAGGTTCAAGCAATTCTTCTGCCTCAGCCTCCCAAGTAGCTGGTACTACTGGCAAACACAACCACACTTTTCTAATTTTTGTATTTATAGTAGAGATGGGGTTTTGCTATGTTGGCCAGGTGGGTCTCAAACTCCTGACTTCAGGTGATCCACCCAACTCAAGCTTCCAAAGTGCTGGGGTTACAGGTGTGAGCCTCCATGCCCAGACTAATTTTTTTATTTTTAGTAGAGATGGGGGTTTGCCATGTTGACCAGGCTGGTCTTGAACTTCTGACTTCAGGTTATCTGCCCACCTTGGTCTCCCAAAGTGCTGGGATTACAGGCATGAGCCACTGCACCTGGCCACTTCTAAGCTTCTTACATGCAGAAATCAGAACCTGGAATCTGTTTCTATGACTTTTCTTCTTAATGCCTATGTGGACAATTAAAGGATTTTTCTTCTCAGGACTCTGAATATGATGAATTGTATTAGTAGACTTTCTAATATTGAGCTGTTCTTAATTTGTGAAATAAACTCAGAAAGTTCCTTCTTGGTCTTAACAGTTTATTTCTCTTTGTAAATATTAGGGATTCTGTGGATTCTGTACTTGTTCCTTTTTATCCTTTCATTCTCTTAGGTTCATTTGGTCTGATGGATTCAGGTACCATTGAAATTCTGATAGTTTCAAAATCTTTATCTCCAGCTTTGATATCTCTTGTGAACTCTGGAATTGTATTCCCAATTGCCAGTTGGACATCCCTACATATGGGACCTCAGATATTTCAAACATGATGTGTCCAAGTCTGTATCACTTCTGGCCATCCTATTGTTCTTTTATTTTTCCAAATTTCACATCACCAGTAACAAACTCACTGTGATCATGGCAGATAGCCTGGAAATAAAACTCCCCTTTTTACCCTCTGCACAGCAAACTGACATCAAATCCTGTTTCTACTTTTTTTCCTTTTAACTATTGCTTCCCTATTCTGTATTCTCACTGCTCCATCTTCTGATGTAGGAGGTCATCTGTCTTCCTCTTTTCCTCTCCTCTGACTCTTAAGCCCTTTCCTATTCTCTTTCTCATGAATGGCTGTTAAAATGCCAATATGGTCATGTAACTTTCTTGTACTTAATGAACCTCCTTATTTACACCATGTTTGTGAAGTGGCTGTATTCACCCTGGGTAGACACAGAATGTTTTTGGCATGTACAAAGAGAATTTTATGCTGCCTGTGTAGAGCTATTAATTTGTAAGTACACTCACCTTTTTGTATCTGTACTTTTAATATCTGTGTATGTAAACAAACTTGGATGCAAAATATTTGAAATAAAATCAGACGCTTGCATCTGTAGTGAACATATTCAGACTTTTTCTTGTCATTACTTCCTAAACAACACAACTATTTACATCCACATTGTATTTGGTCTTCTAAGTGTGAAAGGAAAATAAAGATTGGGACTCCAAACTCATTAAGCTAAAGGGAAAAATCAAGCTGGGAACTCACTCATGAAAACCTGCCTCCTCCTTTTGGTTCCTAAATAAGATGGCTACAAGATAAAAAGCTTTTTATCTTGTAGCCCCCCACTCATATTTTTCCCACAAGGAAATTTCTGGTGTACTTTAAGATCTTTAAAGTGTTTCTGTTAAAATTCATCATGGCAATGTAAATTCATAGCTTATCCTTTTTATTGTTTTTTTTGAGATGGAGTTTCACTATTGTCACCCAGGCTGGAGTGCAATGGCACAATCTCGGCTCACCGCAACCTCTGCCTCCCAGGTTCAAGTGATTCTCCTGCCTCAGCCTCCTGAGTAGCTGGGATTACAGGCATGCACCACCACACTTGGCTAATTTTGTATTTTTAGTAGAGATGGTGTTTCTCCATGTTGGTCAGGGTGGTCTCAAACTCCTGACCTCAGGTGATCCAGCCACCTCAGCCTCTTAGAGTGCTGGGATTACAGATGTGAGCTGCTGTGCCTGGTCTGATAGCTCATCTTTACAGTGCATAGGACAGAACTCAGAGTCATCCCTCTGCCCACCTGACACAAATGCATATCTGATTGTTCCCCTCCCTGTTTGTCTATGTTATGTATAAATGCAGATTCACTGAGACAAAGGCATGAATGACTGTATCAGTCTGTTCTCATACTGCTCTGAAGAAATACTCAAGACTGGGTCATTTATAAAGGAAAGAGGTTTAATTGACTCACAGCTCTGCATGACTGGGGAGGCCTCAGGAAACTTACAATAATGGCAGAGAGCACCTCTTCACGGGGGGCAGGAGAGACATTGAGTGCAAGCAGGGGAAAGGCCAGACACTTACAAAACCATCAGATCTCATGTGACTCATTATCATGAGAACAGCATAGAGGAAACTGCTTTGATGATCCAATTACTTCCACCCGGCCCCACCCTTGACACATGGGGATTATTACAATTTATGGTGAAATTTGGGTGGGGACACAGAGCCAAACCATATCAATGAATGTTTTCCCCCTACCCCAGTCTTACATGAAAACTGTATTTCTCAGTGTTTCACCCTTTCCCCTTTAAATTTGGAGCCCTCATAATCATTTTTAAAGAAAGGCATAGACTTGTCTCCTGGGTGTGCATCCTTAATGTTGGCAAATAAACCTCTTAAAATGATTGAGATTTGTCTCGGTCATGTTTCCTGATTGACCGAAGTGTTCCAGAGATGATATAAAGTACACTCATGCATGGCTTAATGACATGTGTATGTTCTGAGACATGCATTACTAAGCAACATTTTTGTTTTGTGAACATCATAAAGTGTGCTTACATAATCCTAGATGGTATATATGTTTATATTTTTTCTTATGAGAAATCATATGTTCTAACACCATCATTGAATATCAGTCACTTTCCCTACTTGATCTGCAGTGCTAGTATCAAGTCCCACATATCAGGTTTTATCGGGGGAACCAGCCCCCAATATTTCAACGTAGGTTCTTTCTATTTTCCTTAAGTGTTGGCTGGTCTGAGAAATAAAGGGTAAAAAGAAAGAAATTTTACAGCTTGGCCTCTGGGGGTGCCATCACATTGGACCATGATGGCGACCTTGAGCTGCAAAACCAGCCAGTTTTTATTAGGGATTTTGAAAGGGGAAGGGGTGCATGAACAGGGAGTAGGTCATAAGGATCACATGCTTCAAAGGGTCATAAAGATCACAAGGTGAAGGCAAAATTAGAACCACTGATGAGGGTCTGTGTCCCACTGTGCACACATTGTCTTGATAAACATCTTAACAGAAAACAAGGTTCAAGAGCAGAGACCAGTCTGACTAGAATTCACCAGGCTGGAATTTCCCAATCCTAGCAAGCCTGAGGGTACTGCAGGAGACCAGGGTGTATTTCAGTCCTTATTTCAACTGCATAAGACAGACACTCCCAGAACAGCCGTCTATAGACCTAACCCTGGGAATGCATTCCTTTCCCAGGGTATTAATTATTAATATTCCTTGCTGGGAAAAGAATTCAGTGATATTCTCTTACTCACACGTCCATCTATAGGCTCTGTGCAAGAAGAAAAATATGGCTGTATTCTGTCTGACCCCGCAGGCAGTCAGACCTTATGGTTATCTTCCCTCATTCCCTGAAAATTGCTGTTATTTTGTTCTTTTTCAGGGTGCACTGATTTCATATTGTTCAAACAACCATGTTTTACAATCAGATTTGATATTGTTTGAATACACATTTTACAAACAATTTGTACAGTTAATGCAATCATCACAGGGTCTTGAGGTGACATACATCCTCAGCTTACGAAGGTGATGGGATTAGATTAAAGTAAGACAGGGATAAGAAATCATAAAAGTATTAATTATAAAAGTATTAATAAATGTCCATGAAATCTTCCCAATTTATATTCTTCTGCCATGGTTCCCGCCAGTCCCTCCATTCGGGGTCTCTGACTTCCTGCAAGAAGGTTTCTATATGTGTTTATAATCTTAGGGGACCATGGTAATATACATGGTTCATTATTGATTAAAAGGTCATTATGAGGCACATGACTGCATGTGGAAGGATAAGCATGGGTTATATGCAAATATACCATTGTATATAAGAATTGAGCTTCAGTGGTTTTTGGTATCTGTGGGTGTATTTTGGAGCTGATTTCCCATGGATACTGAGGAACAACTGTACTTTGAAAATGAAAGGTGCATACATTTTTGTCATTAAAATTAGGTCAAATATTTAAATGCAGAATCATTGTATAATCAGTTCCTTCAAGACTGCATCTGTCTGTCTCATCAAGGCCCAGGATGGTTTATCTAGATACATTGCAGTATGTCATTCCATTAACATGGTGTGTCTTCTTTGTGTCCTTGGGAATGGACTTCTGCTACACGTCATAGTTGTGAGATGGTGTGGTTCACATGGAAGTGCTAAACAACTTTGGTTTTTCAGTGAAGTGCAACCTCATAATACTGTTCATCACCAAGCCTGGCTAGTTTTTCTATTTTTTGTAAAGACAGGGTTTCACCATGTTGCTCAGTCTGGTCTTGAACTCATGAGCCCAAGTGATCCACCTGCCTCAACCTCCCAAAGTGCTGTAATTACAGGCATGAGCCACTGTTCCTGTCCTAACAAACCATTTGAACTACAGGTGAAGCGAAGTCTCTCTCTCTGATATTTGGTCTTCTATTTACAGCTCCTAAAATATCTAAATGTGCCCTCCCTCTCAGGGCACACAGCCCAATCCTATTTTCTCCCATATGATAGAAAAGAAAGAATCACATAACAAATGCCTAGTGATCTTCATTGTGAAGAGCACACGGTCAAAACATTTTTTAAAATCCTATTTCGAAGTCCAATTATGCAAAGAATTAATAAATAATGACACAAATTGATGAAAGAGTAGCTATCTTACTGAGTCCAGTGTAAGAACACAAATGGAATTCATAATGAGCCACAAAGGCATCTGAGTCCAGATCAAAATCTCAAAGTCTTGAGAAAAGGCCCAACTGGGAGCAAATTATGAAATCTGCATGAGTCTCTTAAGGACGATTTAGGGAAGGCTTGGCCTTTGGTCGTTATTATGAGACTGATATGGTTTGGCTGTGTCCTCATCCAAATCTCGAATTGTTGTTCCCATAATTCCCACGTATTGTGGGAGGGACCTAGTGAGAAGTAATTGAATCATGAGGACTGTTCTGTTCTTATGATAGTGAATAAGTCTCATGAGATCTGATGGTTGTATGGAGGGAAGTTCCCCTGCCCATGCTCTCTCTTGTCTGCTGCTGTGTATGACCTGACCTTTGCCTTCTGCCATGATTGTGAGGTCTCCCCAGCAACGTGGCACTGTGAGTCCATTAAACTTATTTTTCTTTATAAATCACCCAGGCTTGGGCATGTCCATATTAGCAGCATGAGAACAGACTAATACGGAGACTTATTATGAGTTTGACAGGAAGGTGCAGAAACAGAGTTCTGGAGTCAGATTATGGGTGACAGCCACATAATCTTTTTTATTCAAGAAAATTGAAAGATTTTATATATGAGTGGAACTTAGCTTCTGTTCAGTGTTGATGTGGGAAAAAGTGAGGTTAGATTTGTGAGCAGGAGCTGAATCATTAAAAGTCTTCAAGTCCTTGCTAAAGAGTGAGAACCTAAGTTTTAAGCTGTTGTTAAGTGCTTTTAAGTCCTTGAGGAACACAGTTACCTGTCTAGAGATGTTAGTCTGGAAGTGAACAAGATAACGGGAAGTAAGAGGAGTGCAGTCTGATGGAAACATGATGGAAAATGGAAATATTTCAGGTGAGAGAGAGTGAGGGTTTCACTGAGTCATAAAGTTGTGGAGAGGAAGCAGTGAGTAGAAGAATACTTGAGAAGTAGAATTAATAAAACTTTGTGACAGAACAGGTGATGGTTCTGGGAGAGAACTATATCTGGAACAGTGGATCTCAGAGTGCTCCATGAAAATAAGACTCTTTCTATCATAATACAGCTATGTTACTTGTCTTTTTCGCTTGTTTTTGTTCTCTGCTTTGGTGCAAATGCAGTAGTAAGTAAAACCGTAGCACAAAACAAGACAGTGGCTCCAAACAATAGTAGCAGTTCTATTATTTACAGTCACGTGGTTGCCTCAATAAGTAAACATGCCAATTTTATTTTCATGTTACTTAAGAATATCATTGATGAAGCAGTAAAAAATAAAATTTTCATTCAATCTAGATCCCCAAGTATGTCTTTTCAGTATTCTATTTGATAAAATGGTAAGAACTCATAGAGCACTTATTACTTAAAAATGAACTAAGTGTGACAGGGTGCAGTGGCTCACGCCTGTAATCCCAGCACTTTTGGAGCTCAAGAGTTTGCGACCATTTGGAGCAACATGGTGAAACCAAATCTCTACAAAAAAAATTAGCCAGGGGTGATGATGTAAGCCTGTAGTCTACTGTAGGGATGAGCCCTACAGGGTCTGTGGGTTTTCTTCACCTTGTGCAGAGATGAGAGATCGTAGAAATAAAGACACAAGACAAAGAGATAGAAGAAAAGACAGTTGGGCCCGGGAGACCACTACCACCAAGATGTGGAGACTGGTAGTGGCCCCGAATGCCTGGCCGCACTGTTGTTTATTGGATACAAGGCAAGGGGGCAGGGTAAGGAGTGTGAGCCATCTCCAATGATAGGTAAGGTTACGTGAGTCTCGTGTCCACCAGTCGGGGGACCTTCCTTGTTTGGCAGCCGAGGCGGAGAGAGAGAGAGGACAGCTTACATCATTATTTCTACTATGCATTTCAAAGACTTTTAGTACTTTCACTAATTCCGCTACTGCTATCTAGAAGGCCGAGCCAGGTGCAGAGGGCGGAATATGAAAGCAGACCAGGAGCCTGACCGCTGAAGCACAGCATCACAGGGAGACAGGCCTCCGGGTAGCTGCGGGCGAGCTTGACTGATGTCGCCTTCCACAAGAGGTGGTGGAGCAGAGTCTTCTCTAACTACCCCGGGGAAAGGGAGACTCGCTTTCCCGGTCTGCTAAGTAACCGGTGACGTCCCAGGCGCTGGAGTTACCGCTAGACCAGGGAGCCCTCTGGTGGCCGTGTCTGGTCGCGACAGAGGGCTCGTAATCTTGTCTTCTGGTCACTTCTCACAATGTCCCTTCAGCTCCTATCTCTGTATGGCCTGGTTTTTCCTAGGTTATAGTTGTAGAACAGAGATTATTATAATATTGGAATAAAGAGTAATACTGCAAACTAATGATTATTAATATTCACATATCATCATCTATATTCTATTTCTAGTACAAGTATTCTTCTATATATTTTCTTTATTACACTGGAACAGCTCATACCCTCAGTCTCTTGCCTTGGCACCTGGGTGGCTTGCTGCCCAGAGTCTACTACTGGAGAGGCTGAGGAGGGAGGATCATTTGGCCCTGGGAGGCAGAGGTTGCAGTGAGCTATGATTGCACCACTGCTCTCCAGCCTGGGTAACAGAGCAAGACCTTCTCTGAAAAAAAAAAAAAAAAGTGATATTGTCTTAAAAAAAAAACTGAGCTGTTACTGAAAATGTAAAAAGTTTTCAAGTGAAAATTAAAATTTGGAAAACGTATCTGCATTCTGGAACATGATAATTTTTCAAAACTTATGGATTTTTCTAAGGAGATCAAGGGTAATATTACTGAATTTCAAAATATTTTATAATAAAGTGTATCAATATTTGGAACATCTGCATTATTTGATGAACCAATATTTTCCCAATGGCCATGCCAATATGATAAAAATCATGATTTGTAAAAGACCCATTAACATTGAAAATAGACCTATAGGTTTTAATGTGATATAGAAGAAAAAGCATATGATGTGGTGTCATGCCTCCCATTGCAATAACCTGAATAAAGCATTTGTTTGGAGATCAAAGAAGAAGAACAATATTTGGCCAAAAATACTTATTTTTTTTTTTTGTGGGCGGATGGAGTTTCACTCTGTCACCAAGCTGGACACAATCTTGGCTCACTGCAACCTCCACCTCCTGGGTTCAAGCAATTCTCCTGCCTCTGCCTCCCAAATAGCTGGGATTACAGGCACTCACCACCACGTTGGCTAATTTTTGTATTTTTAGTAGAGACGGGGTTTCACCGTGTTGGCCAGGCTGGTCTCGAACTCCTGATCTCAAGTGATCCGCCTGCCTCAGCCACTGAAAGTGCTGGGATTACAGGCGTGTGCCACCACACCTCGTCCAAAAATTATTTTAAATTATTCTTCCTTTCTACAACTTCATGTCTGTGTGGGGCACTATTTTCTTCACACACTTAGCCAAAACAACATATTGGAACAGATTGAATTGAGAAGCAGATATGAGTATCAATCTGTCTTCAGTTAAGCCAAACATTTTGCAAAAATGTAAAAACATTGCAACTCTTCAAACTATTTGAGGACTTGTTTTATTTTAAAATACTATTTTGTTAGCATGAACTGAATTTATTATTTTTAAGCATATTACGAATTTTTTTTTGAAGTGGAATCTTGCTCTGTCTCCAGGCTGGAGTGCAGTGGCGCGATCTTGCCTCACACAACCTCCACCTCATGGTTTCAAGCGATTCTCCGGCCTCAGCCTCCCGAGTAGCTGGGACTACAGGGGCCCACCACCATGCCCACCTGTTTTTTTTTGTTTTTTTTTTTTTGCATTTTTAGTGCAGATGGGGTTTCACCCTGTTGGCCAGGATGGTCTTGATCTCTTGACCTTGTGATCCACCTGCCTCGGCCTCCCCAAGTGCTGAGATTACAGATGTGAGCCACTGCACCCGGCCAATATTTACTAATTTAGAAGTCCTAATTTATGATAATCATTAATAGAAATAATACATAGGAATAAAGTTGGGTGAGAGAGAAAGGTTTGGAAGTTGTCAATTTTTTTTCTTTTAACTTATTTAAAATTCAAGTGTCATGTCTACAAAGTGGCTGCAAAACTCATAGAGACCTTATTCCTCCACACTCCTTTAGTTTCATTTTTTCCTTCTATCATAGGGTTTATCACTATTATTTTTAATCTTGTCATCCCAACTAAATTATGAGGTCCTGCAGGAAAGAAAGTTATGTGCTTTATTTTTGACTTATTTGTACTTAGCACCATGAATTGCTTAGGGATTTTTCTTTAAAATAAAAATTAAATAACATCAGGCCAGGCGTGGGGGCTCACGCCTGTAATCCCAGCACTTTGGGAGGCTGAGATGGGCAGATTACCTGAGGTCAGGAGAGCGAGAACAGCCTGGCCAACATTGCGAAACCCCGTCTCTACTGAAAATACCAAATTAGCCGGGCGCGGTGGCACTTGCCTGTAATCCCAGCTACTCAAGACACTAAGACAGGAGAATCGCTTAAACGTGGGAGGCAGAGTGTGGAGTGAGCTGAGATCGTGCCACTGCAATCCAGCCTGGGTAACAGAGCAAGACTCCATCTCAAAAATAAATAAATAAATAAACAAAAACATCGGTTAGCAATGTTGTCATTTAGACATATTTAGGCATTAATTCTATCACTTACCAGACCTTAATATTTTAAATTGTTGATCATGGAATTTGTTGATTTGAACCTGAAAAACCTTAATTATTTTCAAGTAGTTTTTCCTTCAATTAAATTATATTAACTTTATATTTATTTGAAATAATTTATTTTCATGTTTTTATTAAACTTTCATCAATGTTTTGTGCTTTTATAACCATGTGAAATATTTATTTGTTTTTGAAATATTGATTTTAAAAACAATGCAATTAGTTGATATTTATTATTGAAAAGTACTAGAATTTCACAATCTTAATAAATATTGATAATTGTTGTCATTTAGAAAAATAATACTGGTGTAGGAATGAAGAGAGAAGAAGGAGTAAGAAAGGCGATTGCTCTTTATTTTGAGTATTTTCTTTTCTTTTTTTTCTTTTTAGTAAAAATGGGGTCTTGCTATGTTGACTACGCTGGCCTCGAACTCCTGGCCTCAAGCCTTTGCTTCTCAAAGCACTGGGTTTACAGATATGAGCCACTGTGCCCAACCTGATAATTATTTTTATGTCATGTTGACAGGATTTAGACTAATAAAACATTTCTATTTTGTTTTTTTATTTCAGATTCAGGGGTACATGTGCAGATTTGTTACAAGGGTATATAGCATGGTGCTTAAGTTTGGGCTTCTATTGATCTCATCAACGGGATAGCGAACATAATAACTAATAGGAAGCTTCTCAGGTCTTGCCCCATTCCCTCCTCCCTCCTTTGGAGTCGCTAGTGTCTATTGATCCCATGTTTACGTCTGTGTGTACCCAAGATTGCATTCCCACTTATAAATGAGAACCTGCGATATTTGGTTTTCTGTTTCTGCATTAAGTTGCTTGGGATGATGGGCTTCAGATGCATCCATGTTGCTGCAAAGAACATTATTTCATTATTTTTTATGGCTGCATAGTATTCCATGGTGTGCACATGCCACGTTTTCTTTGTCCTATTCATCATTGATGTGCACCTGGGTTGATTGCATGTCTTTGCTATTGTGAACATATTAGAGTATGTGTTTTGGGGTAGAATAATTATAATTTATTTTCTTTTGGGTATACACCCAGTAATGGGATTGCTGGGTCTAATGATAGTTCTGTTTTTTGAGAAATCTTCAAACCACTTTCCACAGTGGCTGAACTAATTTGCATTCCTACCAAGAGTGTATAGGCATTCCCTTTGCTTTGTAGCCTTGCAAAAATCCGTGGTTATTATTATTATTATTATTATTTTGAGATGGAGTTTCACTCTTATTGCCCAGGCTGGAGTGCAATGGCACGATCTCAGCTCACCGCAACCTCCTTCTCCCGGGTTCAAGCGATTATCCTGCCTCAGCCTCCCGAGTAGCTGGGATTACAGACATGCACCACCATGCCCAGCTAATTTTTTGTATTTTTAGTAGAGACGGGGTTTCATCATGTTGGCCAGGATGGTCTCGAACTCCTGACTTCAGGCTATCCACCCGCCTCAGCCTCCCACAGTGCTGGGATTACAGGCATGAGCCACTGCATGCGGCCAAGATGTTTTTTAAAAGTAGAATTTTATACTCCTCATTAATACATTTCCTTCCTGGCATCTCTTTGATTTCTTAGGGCACACACTGAGGCGGATGGCATCTCACTGTTAATCAAGAATAAAAAGCCTTAAATTATGCCAGAAACCACTATAGCAATGTCTGTGTCAAGAGGCTGTCTGAATATCTAAATGTACATTTCACAGTACAGCAAACACTTTTTTTGAACTACATTATCTGTCAGATTGCCTAAGGCACTGAAATAGAAAACTCCTAGTGCTTGCTGTATTTTGCTAGCTTATACATTAGTTTCTTTTGTTGATTTTTGCTATGAGAGGACCAAAAAGATAGAAACCACAGTATCTGTTTTAATATTTTTTTTTGAGACAGGGTGACACTCTATCACCCAGGCTGGTGCAATCACAACTCACTGCAGCCTCAACTTCCTGTGCTGAAGTGATCCTCCCACCTTAACCTCCTAAGTACCTGAGACCACAGGCATGTGACACCACACCTGGTGTATTTTAGTATTTTCTTGTACACAGAGGGTTTTTCCATGTTTCCCAGGGTGATCTCAAACTCCTGGGCTCAAAGGATCCTCCTGCCTCAGCTTCCCAATGTGCAGTGATTACAGGAATGAACCACCATGCCTGGCCTTAATATTCTTTTCTATTTGTAAATGGAAAGCTTCAGAAAAGACCCTCAAACAGGACTATAAATGTTTTCACAATACTGTTTTGTACAGCCAGATATTAACAGTATATATAATGTAACTCAGGGGTCCCCACCCCTGGGCCATGGACAGGTATGTGTCCGTGGCCTCTGAGGAACCGGGCTGCACATCAGGAGGTGAGTGGTGGCTGAGCAAGCATTATGACCTGAGCTCCGTCTCCTATCAGATCAGCTGCAGCATTCGATTCTCATAGGAGTACGAGCCCCAATGTGGACTCCACATGTGAGAGATCTAGGTTGCATGCACTTATGAGAATCTAATGCCTGATGATTGGAAGTGGAAGAATTTCATCCTGAAACTATCCTCCCTGCCATCTGTGGAAAAATTGTCTTCCATGAAACCCATTTCTGGTGCCAAAAAAGGCTAGGGACCACTGATGTAACATATACCAGTATATCACATTTATTCTTACCTGTTGACATATATCCTGAAATTAGCTGTGGACAAGCTGTGGGAGTTATGTGTGAAAATAGCTTAGCAATTTAGACTCCCAGGACAATTCCACACTTCACTAAGCAAATGATGGCTATTCTTAACTGACAACATCATCACCAGCTGTCTCTTACTAACCCTAACAGTATAATAGAATACACGGTAGGAGCCCAGCCGAATGTCTTCCTCCAGCCCCACATCCAATGGCTGGCATGTGCACCCTCTTACCTAAGGTTGTGTATCCCCTTCTCTGCAGCTACAGCCCACTTGGCCTGGGTTCCATTCCCCACCGCAGAAAAGCCTTCTACTACTGACTGGACTGGAGAATACATGCCTCAGTTCCGTTGTTCCTTGGCTGTGTAACTCTGAGGTCCATGTTCGACGTGGCTCCCCAGAGTTCTGTCATGGGAGTAAGCACCAGTCATCTGCAGTGTAACTCACTTGGCAACACATCCTTATTTTGTCTTCTTCCTGTTCCCTGTCCCATTCTGTCCCTCCTTGACCAATGCTTCCAGTCTCCTTGGGATCATGTCCCAAATAAACCATGTGCACTGAAATCTTTGTCTTAAATTCTGCTCCTGGGGGAACCCACACTAAGACATGGTGAATCTTCCATATTAAGGAGGAACTGGTGCCTGTTGAAAATGAATTGTTGTGTTTGTTGGAGAAAAATTCATCTGTTACGCTGGAAGCAAACAAATCCCACAAGAATACTGTATTGCCAATATTGTCCGTGTCTCCAGCTGAGCAGTTAAGGAGAGCTGCACTGATGCTAGAAGTTGCCAACACCTGTGAATGGCTCTGGAGGCTTCTTGTGGACCTCCATCTTGGAGGAGGTGGCAAATGCTTAGTAGTCTCCCAGGAGTCAACATGCCGGCACTCACACTGATCTCCATATCATTGTGGAGAGTCAATGTCAAGACCTTCTGCCCTTCAAAGCTATCACATTGTATGTGCCTTAGACGCCACTTGCCAGAAGCAAGCCAGGTTTACCTTTGGACACCAACAGCATTCTTTCCATTCATTCATCCTCCTGACTTATCAGACCCTGCTATGAATGACTTGATTGTTCTTCAACTTCCAATTTACCCTCAAAATTTGAAGATTTTCTACCCGCTCAAAATAATTGATTTTGCCTTTTTGGAAAGCAGCCCACAAAGAGATTTTTTGAATAAATAAAAATTGATCCATGTTTACGAAGCGTGTATTTGGATATGTCCGTTGGACATATCTATCATTTGTTGACATACCTATCACACTGTCTGGAATGACACCTCAGTTTTTTCCCTTTTCTTTCAAAGTAGGCCTTTGGGAATCACATTTACTTTTATATAGAAACATGATTTTTTCCTCTCAAGAGCTTGTCTTTTGTATTTAGCAAAAAAAAAAAAGCCTTCTCCGTTCTGTAGAGAAAATCCCCAAATTGTGCAAAACCTCTGGAGAAAGCACTGAGCCCAAGAAATCAGCATTCCAAGAAAAAGACTCTGCACACAGCATCTGCATTTTTGTGCTGAACTGTTAAATGCAGATGTAGTGAAATTCATAGCTTTTTCAAAATGTACAATATAGTGAGTGGGTGTTGCCAATACATTATAATTACCCTGGACTTGTGTGAGGTGGATCCTTTGGATGAGAATTGGCTTTCTCAGATGAAGGGAATCTTGTCTGTGAATGAAGAAGACAAGGAGGAACAGAGTATTCTTGGGAGAGGCTGCCCTGGTTTTCATGATATCAGTGATCCTTTAACCCAAAAGCCCACAGATGTTCTCCCTAATTAACCACAGAAAGTATAATTATTTACCACCCCCCAAGAATCTGAGTTCTTCTTCAGAAACCAAGATTGAGAGGAATTACTCCCAGAAC
The DNA here is from genome assembly GCF_000001405.40 of Homo sapiens. Classification (NCBI taxonomy): domain Eukaryota; kingdom Metazoa; phylum Chordata; class Mammalia; order Primates; family Hominidae; genus Homo; species Homo sapiens. The sequence continues at coordinate 75,111 of NT_167218.1, forward strand.
CAGTGTGCAGTATACACCTTTGAACCCTTTGAGCTCTTTGCTTTCTTTTGCAGCTTGTTTTTTCCTGCCTGTTTTTCCTGTCTTCTTTCAGGCTAAGCCTCCCTCCTTTTGGTAGAGGTTTTTTTATACCATTTGGAAACTGGTTTGGATAAGCTACCTTAATGAAGGACCACAAGTCTCTCCAGAGATGATAAAAGACTTTTTGTCTTTTCTGGTAAGTCCTTTCTGGAATAAAGATCAGTGTCTTTCTGGATTACTCTTGGTTTCTACAGATTTTACATTCTGTCTGTGAGGCATATATTCTAGTGAATTTACTTTCAAATTGGTCTGAATGCCTAGTTTAATATTTTGATCTACATGTCTAGGTTAAAATTTTTGTGAACAATCTTATCTTGGTTTCTTTTGATTTTGTTTGACTCTTTATCCTTGTTTCTGAAATTCTCCCAAATGCAAAAGTAAACATTCTAAATGGTGGGTCAGGATGGCTAACTAAAAGCTGCCAGGGCAGTTGTCACCCTTTAAAACACTGGCCTAAACCCCGGAAATTCCATGACAGGATTTATAGGATTTTCTCTACTCTTGAAAGATTAATGAAAAACAGAATGGTTGTTAGGTGCGGTGCCTCACGCCTCTAATCCCAGCACTTTGGGAGGCCAAGGTGGGTGAATCACGAGGTCAAGAGATCAAGACCATCCTGGCCAACATGGTGAAACCTCGTCTATATTAAAATACAAAAAAAAAAAATAGCCAGGCGTGGTGGCATGTGCCTGTAGTCCCAGCTACTCAGGAGGCTGAGGCAGGAGAATAGCTTGAACCTGAGAAGTGGAGGTTGCAGTGAGCCGAGATTGTGCCACTGCATGAGAGTCTGTCGACAGGGCAAGACTCCATCTAAAAAAAAAAACAAAAAACAAAACAGAATCGCATTCTCAAACATTAAGGCATGCTAGGTTTTCTGGGACTCCAGCTGGTTATATATTATGGCTCATATTTTTACCTTGCTGGGAAAATTACATCAAGGAAAATTCAGATCTCCAATAGTCATTATTTGAAAAACCTGCAATTATAGAGTTAACATGTCGAGTTTTCTAAGTTCTCTGTATACCTCTCTCGGTTCTTCTTCTGCCCATTCACTGTTTATGGAATTCTGGCCTGTGCCCCAAATCTTAAAGAGTATTCAACTTAATGGTTTTATAAATTACAACAGCTTCATGATATCAACAAGTGAGATAATCTTTGAAATATAAATTTAATTCCAAAATACCGTGGGTTAAGAAAAAGTAAGAAATATAAATTTAGGTTTACCTGACTTACAATTGTGTGCAACAACAGAATACTTAATTAGAAGTTAATGTAAGAGAAAAATAACTAGATAAATATTTATGAAATTAGGCTCTCAGATCAAGCAGGTCAAAATCTTGACCGTACAGCAATAACCTAAGGTATGTCTAGCACAAAAATTTTGCTGTTTCTGCACACAAAAGCAAAAAATAAAAACTATAAATAATTTAAAACCGCTAAAAATCTTTCTTGTCCACACTTGCTAGTCAAGCAAATCACACTGGCAAAGAGAAAATAGATTTGCTTCTAATTCAAGGTTACATGGATATTTTATTTTTCTTATACAATTTATCCAGTCCCAGCTTAAATGTAAATATTGAAAATATAACCCTAAACTCATTTGAAACTTAAGAAAAGGTGAAAAAAGTTTTTTAAAAAATCAAACTGCCATGGAAACTGCTTTACCCAAACTGTGGTTCACAACACTTATTAGATTATCTTTTGCGGCAAATAAATTTTAGCCATGTTTTACATTTTGCCAAAAAATATAAAACTGTCTTTTATAAACTGGTGGATTAGTATTACTATCTCATGACTAAAAGCCTAAAATAAAAAAACATAAGATCTGTTATTTGTGTGTGTATATGTGGTCAGATGTGTTTATGTATATACACATGTATTTTGTTATATGTTTTGCCTACATGGTAAAATCTGGTGTAGTGAGCCAGAAATCCCTTAAGAAAGTCTATTTAGATAAATGACCTTATGAAATATACAAAAATTAACCTAAATGCTTTTTAATTCATGTGACTTAATTAAATCTGTGATAAATAAACTATTCTAAAATTAGTGGTAAAATAAAAATAGAAATATCTTCAAAATGGTCCGTGTACATTTTACCAGGGTTTACTGGTCAGATGGTTTTATATTTTTTTCTTCTGGAAATCTGTTATTATGTGGGCAGCAAGCCACCCAGGTGCGAGGCAAGAGACCGAGGGCAAGAGCTGTTCCAGTGTAATAAAGAAAATATATAAAATAAGAATAGTTATACTAGATATAAATCATAGATATGATTATATATGAATATCATTAATCATTAGTTTGTAGCAATTACTCTTTATTCCAATATTATAATAATCCTTGCTCTACAATAAAAACCTAGGAAAATCCAGACCATACAGAGATGGGAGCTGAGGGGACATAGTGAGAAGTGACCAGAAGACAACAGTGTGAGCCTTCTGTTATGCCCGGACAGGGCCACCAGAGGGCTCCTTGGTCTAGCGGTAACACCAGCATCTGGGAAGATGCCCATGACCTAAAGGGACCATGGTCTAGCAGTAGCATCAGTGCCAAGGAAAAGCACCCCTACTTAGCCGACTGGGAAATGGAGTCTCCCTTTCCCCGGGGGAGTTTAGAGAAGACTCTGTTCCTCCACCTCCTGTGGAAGGCATGACGTCAGTCATTCCCACCTGCAGTTATCTGGAGGCCTGACCATCTCCCTGTGACACTGTGTTTCAGTGGTCACACTCCTAGTCCACTTTCATGTTCCCTCCCATACACCTGGCTTGCCTTTTAGATAGCAGTAGCAAAATTAGTGAAAGTACTAAAAGTCTCTGATATGCAGAAATAATGGCATAAGCTGTCTCCTCTCTGTCTCTCTCTCCCCACCTCAGCTGCCAAACAGGGAAGGGCCCCCGTCCAGTGGACACGTGGCCCACATGACCTTACCTATCATTGGAGATGGCTCGCAATCCTTACCCTGCCCCCTTGTCTTGTATCCAATAAATAACAGCACAGCCTGGCATTCGGGGTCACTACTGGTCTCTGTGTCTAGGTGGTAGTTGTTCCCTGGGCCCAGCTGTCTTTTCTTCTATCTCTTTGTCTTGTGTCTTTATTTCTATGATCTCTCATCTCCACACATGGGGAGAAAAACCCCACAGACCCTGTGGGGCTGGTCCCTACATTATTAGTCATAATTTTGGTTGCTATGTTAACTTTTTCCTAGAGTTATATTTATGTGGATATGTTATATGGATTTTTATACCCATATAACTTTCTATGTTGCTATAAAATTGCACTCACTCATAAAATACTGATAATACTGATATGTGAGAGATTTCTTGCTCCCTAGGTTTTCACTGTAATTTAAGGTTACTACGAGTTTAAAATTCTAATTAATATAGGCCAGGTACAGTGGCTCATGCCTATGATCCCAGCACTTTCTGAGGCCGATGCGGGTGGATCGCTTGGGCCCAGGAGTTTGAAACCACTCTGGGCAACATGGTAAAATGCCGTCTCTACAAAAAATACAAAAGTTAGCCAGGCATGGTGGCACAAGCCTGTAGTCCCAGCTACTGGGAAGGCTGAGGTGGGAGGGTTGCTTGAGCCCAGGAGGTTGAGGCTGCAGTGAACTGTGATTGTGCCACTGCACTCCAGCATGGGTGGCAGAGTGAGACTTGTTTCAAATAAAATAAAATAATAAAATTGTAATTAATACGGATAATTCTTTTTGTGGTGTGGGGGAACAGGATCCCACTCTGTCACCCAGGCTGGAATGCAGTAGCATGATCATAGCTCACTGCAACCTCAAACTCCTGCGCTCCAGCAATTCTCCTGCCTCAGCCTCCCAAAGTGCTGGGATTACAGGTGTGAGCCAACATGCCTGGCCTAACATATATAATTCTATATAAAAGTGTGCCTTAAAAAGTAGGATGAGTTTTTAATAAGAAAAAATGTATAAGAAATGCATAAAAACATGTTCTTTATTGAGAAAGAAATAATAATTTTATATAATTTGAAGGTTATTTAAAGCTTGTTTCAAAATATTGATTCAGGAAAGACAGTGAAATGTTAAAGAAGAACCAGTAAGTAGAAGAGAGAGATGTGAAGAAAGTTATTGATAGGGAGATGGAGATAGGAGAAGGTTGAAAAGAAAAGAAATATTTCACATGACAAAGAATCTTGTGTGGTAAATTTTCATCCTAAACTAAAATGGCTAGTTATTTAAGAGGGAAAGTACAGGATAAAGTGGAAAGCCCAAGCATGTCAACAATGGTCTGAGTAACTCATTTGTGAAAAGAGAATTTATGCAAGATGTTTTGCATGTGACCAAGTTTGTTATGATCAGAAGAAAATTAAATTATAAGTCTTTCTAAGGACTGAGCTTTGGCATTAAAAATACACTAATACAAAACTGAAAAAATATGGTCCCCTATGTTAGAACAACAAGGTTTTCTTAAAGTATTGATTTAGTTTTCATAAAATTGCAAGAGGTTTTGAGTTTTAATTCTGAAATCTGTTCCCTTAACAGCCGTCTTCTAAACTACAGACAATTTCCATTTCTGTCAAATATTTTTCTGAGATCTATTTAATTTGCCTAGTTTGAGGGTGGAGATTCAGCTCCCCCTTTTTCTTGCCTAAAAAGGCACAACATCTTGGCTGAGGTGATAACTTTTCTTTTTTTGTCAACTCTTGTACCTTTTTTTTCTGTGGTTCCAACTCTGCTGTTATGTCCTGATGCTGAAATTTATATCCTGAAAAATCTAGAAAAACAGTGTTTTACTCCAATATAACTTGAAGTTAATAAAAGTCTGATGGTCCTGATGTGATGTAGTCAGTCATGATTCTGGTTGCATGTAATAAAAATAACCAAGTTTCCTTGTCAATTGGGACATTTGATCAGATTTTAAATCATGGCTATTCCAAGTTTTTGTCATTCACAGTTGTTTTGAAAATTTCTCTAAAAGCATTTGCAATCTGCTGTAGTCCAAAACAGCTTTTCATAGAAAATAACAAATACTCTTGAACACAGAATTCTGATAAATTTTTTGAGACAAGGTCTCACTCTGTTGCCCAAGCTGGTATACAGTGGCACAGTCTTGACTCATGGCATCCTCTACCTCCCAATCCTCTAATCTCAGCCTCCTGGATAATTTTTGTATTTTTTTGTACAGATGGGATTTCTCCATATTGCCCAGGCTGGTCTCAAACTCCCAAGTTGAAGTGATCTACCTGCCTCAGCCTCCCAAAGTGCTGGGATTACAGATGTGAGCCACTGCACCTGGCCAAATTTTTGGTAATTTAAGATCAGTAGACTAAAAAAAAATCTCCAGAGCTTAAATGAATAAACTGATGGGTTTATAAAACTGTTAATCAAGATTAAACAAAACAACTACATGAAATTAAGTGGTTCACGAAGATGATGTTTTTATGACTTTTATTTGAAACATTATTGGCTGTGAAATATTTTGTTTTCCAGATTTAAGAAAACTTTATCTCGTAAGCTACCTACAGTTTACAAAAATTCACTAAAGTATAATTTTTTGAACAAAGATGGAAGCATTCATTTTGTCTCCCTACTTGATTCCTCCAAAATTTGGAAAACATTTGTGAGTATTCTTTTATTTTTACTCAATAAATATCTGTTTCTCTTCATAAACAGAATGTCATTGAAAACATTGGTTATATTATTAAGGCTTTGACTGAAATCTCATATTTAAGAAGGTGCATAAAGTGCCTGGCTTCCAGTGCTTCCGCCTGACAGTGAATGAGTAAAAATTGTCACATCCTGGCAGGCCCAAGAACTTTAAGATTGTAAGTAAAATCTAAAACCTCCCTTGCTTTGGCTTAAGAGGTTTTTAAACCTGAACTTTTTGTAGATTAATGTAGAGAGAAAGTTCTGTTTCTAAAGAAAAACTATAATGCATCTGTGAGTAGATTGTAAACCTGTGCATGCTTTTCAAGTTCTTGTTATCTACATGTAGATTATACTAGATCTTGAATTTTCCTAATGTATTTCTCCAAATTTGGCAACAACTCTCCAACTAAAAGCAAAAGTTGCTCTGTTACTAAAGCCCTATGAGCTGAAACTAGATAAATTTTAAAGAATAAACATGTGCCTGGTGTATGGATCACAGAAAGAGTTCACCAAACCACCTGATGTCATGACCAAAGACATTCAAACTACAAAGCAGGAGAAGTTAATGTTTTCATGCCGATTGTCCCAGATCATTAGAACAGATTTTCCCAGGTCATTAGAACAGATTTTCCCAGGTCATTAGAACAGGACTGCATGTGATGAGATTTTTACCCTTCCTCCTCCTTAATGCTACATTTTTCACTTGGCAGAATAATGATGTGAATGAAAATTCACAATCAATAGCTTCTGCTCATAAGTATCCTTTGGTTCAATGAGAAAATGACTATGTTATTGTCAATACTGTATGCTGTACCTGGATAAATTTCTCCTGGAAATTAGAAATTTATAGACACAAAAGAAGAAGACAGGCCTCATGGTTACACCATCTCACCTGATTCCTTATTGTCATTTGATTTATTCAATTAGCTCTATGTAAGGCGAGATTAATGGCTCAAAGCCATTATGCAAACTAGAATTGTCCTATTACTATTTAGTTCATAATTTCCCTTTTTAAACTGTGTATCCATTACTTAAGTTTTTTTTCAAAAGTTCAACTCCTAACAGAATAATGCCGGTACAGCACTTTGAGATGATAGCAAAAGACTACAAAACAGACAAAATTGAACTTAATAATGAACTCCAGGTAGACTTAGCCTGAAAACTACTCCCTTCAAATCTCCCTTCTTGCTCCAAATGTGCCTAAAAGGATTTTGACACTGACTCTTAAGTGCCAATTAACCCCACCTCAATGTGGGACGAGACCAAAAACCAAAATAGGTCCATCCTAGCACCAAGGGCCATCAAAACAGAACTAAAAGATGATTGATCAGTGATGCTTTTGGAAAAAGATCTGGAGCACAAAAGGGAGGGGAAACGTGAAATTTGTCTCAATCAAAATAGAGTCACTAGTGATAACAAAATTCTGACAGCTCAAGCTGGGGAAGGCCATGAAGAGAGCATTCTCATGTGTGTATGCCTGATGATGAAAAAGATTCTACAAAAATTACAACCTTGCACAAAGTCCATGACAACGTTATACAAAAAAAAAAAATTCTGTAAGGACACCTGCCCAGTAACTACTGCCTTCCAACCATGGACAGGCGTCACGATCGTTATTGATTTTTGTAGCCAAGGATAATTATTTCAAAACAATTATGTAACCTTCTTCATTTTTTCCTTTGAAAACCTTTGTCTTTGATGTAATTTGGGTGTTTGCCCTCTCCAAATCTCGTGTTGAAATGTAATCCCCATTGTTGGAGGTGGGGCCTGGGGAGGTGACTGGATCATGGGGGCAGGTCCTTTATGAATGGTTTAGCACAATCCCCTTCGTGATAAGTTCTCACCCTGAATTCATGTGAGATCTGGTTGTTTAAAAGTGTGTGGAGGTTGGGCGCAGTGGCTCACGCCTGTAATCCCAGCACTTGGGGAGGCTGAGTTGGGCAGAGTACTAGAGATCAGGAGTTTGAGACCAGCCTGGCCAACATGGTGAAACCCTCTCTCTACTAAAAATAACAAAAAATAGCTGGGTTTGGTGGCATATGCCTGTAATTCCAGCTACTCAGGAGGCTGAGACAGGAATCGCTTGATCCCAGGAGGCAGAGGTTGCAGTGAGCCGTTATCACGCCACTGCACTCCAGCCTCAGTGACAGAGTGAGACTCCGTCTAAAAAAGAAAAAAGAAAAGGTGTGGCATCTCTCCCCTCCCTCTGTTGCCCCTGCTCTCACCATGTGATGTGCCTGCTCCAACGTCAAATTCTGCCATGAATAAATGTTTCCTGAGGCTCTCACCAGAAGCAGATGTCAGAACCATGCATCCTATCAGACCTGTAGAACCATGAGCCAATTAAACCTCTTTCCTTTATAAATAGCTCAGCCTCAGGCATTTCTTTACAGCAACATACAAATGTTCTAGCAGAGTCTTTACCTCCCTGCATATGCACATGGTTTACTATGGCACACATATTTCTATTCAATGCTCTATTCCCAAACAAGAGTATTTTCTTTCTTTTAGAGAGACTCTGTTTCCTGTGCAGGTTGATGGTTCCAGCTGATCTCAGAAATACTGGAAAAGACAAGCAAAACTGTGGCAGATCAGGTCTCATTAACAGTTGAACAGGAAGGACTCCATGACAAGAGCTTCCACACTGACTGAACTGGTTAGGTTAAATATTAAAGGCTGAACGAGGAGTTGCCCTTACACAAAGGCTGGAACATAACAATAGCAGACAAAAAGTCTGGCCTAGGCCTTTCCTGGGCCTTGAAGCGCAACAAGATAACAAAGAATTTCTTACATTCTTCACACCAGGATGCATTTAGGATTAAAAACTTCTGTTGGATGTCTGAAGAAACTCCCCCAGACCTCCACACCTTAGCTGGAGACAAGATAACAGTAATCACCTCCAGCACCAGGACCCCATCTAGATTAGGCAAACTTACTGAGGCTCCGGAGGAAGGTCTCCAGGACCCAGAACTTAGTTATAGATTAGGTGGAATCAGTCACTTTTGTCCTTAGGAAAATGCACACTTACACACAGACATACAGCTTAGAAGATATATAAGCTCTGGAAAAACTTGGTAACTTTGAGTTTGTCTGGTGATGTTTTCCCCAGCCTTCTCCCTATACCTGGTTACAGAAATAAAATCTCTTCTTTCCAAGTTTGTCTGCATCTCATTACTGGACCATGAGAACAAGCAGCCAGAATCTTGATTTGGTCCAGGAACACAACCAGCTAAAGAAAATCTGAATTGGGATTAGAAATATGGAGGTATGTAAACAGATCAGTTTGAATATTGGGCTCCAAATCCTTTCGTAGATATTAAACATATACCTGAAATTACAAATGAGGTAACCATTCAAAAGCTTATTCATGATTGAAGAGGGGCTGGGATACCCGTTTCTTCTTTGGGGACATGCTTTTCATTAGCCCTAATCTCATAATCCACATAGGAGTTCCTTTCTTCTAAAGATTTTTCTTTTTTTACCACTTTATTCACTGCTGCTTGAAGGGCAACACCAGATGCAGGTTGAGCCAATAGTGCCAGCCAGTAAGAACTGGAGTGCACAGTAAGAACTGGGGTGCACTGTAAGAACTGGGGTGCACTCCCACCACCATTACCAGTGCTTTCACACCCTCCCATGGGATGCAGTACCCACGGCAGAGGAGCACTCTGAACATAGCTGTGGGTTACGAGGCTGCATCTGCAGTCCACACTCTTACCAAACCACGAGATCAATGCTAACTCCCTAAAGCAGGCTGGGAACACAGATCTTCCTCCTTCACACAGCTCTGGGAAGCTCTAACTTCTTTTTGCACTTAAGATAAATTTTCATGCAGCAATCCCACTACCAGGAACTTATCAAAAGGAAATATTTGGAATGCACACAGATGCATGCAGTTATTGATCTGTAATTATCTGGATGTCTATCAGTAAGAAATTAGTTATTTAAATTTATTCACATGCATTCAAATGACAACTCCACAACCTTTAGGAGAATAAAAATGGATTTCAAGGATCTTCTCTCTCAGAGAGGCAGTGTAGAGTGATGGCTAAGAGTTCCAGCTGGCAGCAAGCTCACCTGGACTCACATCTGAGCTCTATACTTACTGTCTCTGTGGCCTTGGGTAAATTATCAAGGGCTCTGAGCCCCACATCCCCCATCTGTAAAATGGATTTTTAGGAAGATTAAATGGGTTTTAATGTAAAGTGCCCAGGACACACTGTACTTGGGACATAGCGAGAATTCAATGCAAATTAGTCAGTATTGATGACATGTCCTTAAATGAGTAAAACATGTTATGAAACAACATGTAGACGATGCTTATATTTTTATTTCCTATGTGAACCCAAAATATCTGAGACAGGTCTTAGTTCAGAAACTTAATTTTGCCAAGGTTAAGAACATACCCATGACACAGACTCAGGAGGTTCTTATGACATGTGCCCAAGGTGGTTGTGATACAGCCTGCTTTTATACATTATTATTTTTTTCTCAGACAGAGTCTCTCTCTGTCTCTCCGTCACCCAGGCTGGAGGGCAGTGGCTCAATCTCGGCTCACTGCAACCTCCTCCACCTCCCATGTTCAAGCAATTCTCCTACCTCAGTCTCCAGAGTAACTGGGATTACTAGGGCCCGCCACCACAGCCGGCTAATTTTTGTATTTTTAGTAGAGACGGGATTTCACCATGTTGACCAGACTGTCCTCGAACTCCTGACCTTGTGATCCACCTGCCTCGGCCTCCCAAAGTGCTGGGTTTACAGACATGAGCCACCACGTGCAACCACTTTTATACATTTCAGGGAGAAATGAGACATCAATTAATATATGTAAGATTTTCATTGGTTTGATCTGGTAGGGTGGGGAGCTTCCAGGTCATAGATAAATTTAAACATTGATTGAAAGAGTTATTAGAAGAAAGGAATGCCTGTGTTACAATAAGCAGTTATGAAGACCAAGGTTTTATCATGCAGATGAAGCCACCAGGTCACAGGCCTCAGAGAAAATAGATTGTAAATGTTTCTTGTTACACTTGAGGTTTGTATTGATGTTAATGCTGGAGGGGTACAATGAGGCATTTCCAAGCCCGTTTTCATCATGGCCTGAACTAGAGTTTCAGGTTAACTCCGGAATGGCCTCTGCCAAGAGGATGGGTCCATTCAGATGGCTGTTGGGGGGCCTTAGATTTCCACTTTTGGTTAACACTGTCCCCCTTCTGGCCAAGTCAGTGGCCACCCAATTTTTATTTTGTCCTATAGTGTTGCCAGGGTGGCGTAGCTACCTACTTCACGTCCACCCTATTTTTGTAGCCTGTCAGTTTCAGGTGATTACCTAAGAACCTTAAGATACATGGTTATTTTACCAATAATTTAAGATTTAGCTGTTTTCATTAAACCGCAACATTAACATCTTATTGGTTTAAAAACCACAAAAGCAGAGATGATTCTGTTTGGTGGCTGGCTTTATAGTTTTATAACTTTTCATTTTTTGAGACGGAGTCTCACTGAGCCACCCAGGCTGGAGTGCAGTGGCACCACTCTGCTCACTGCAACCTCTGCCCCCTGGGTTCAAGAGATTCTCCTGCCTCGGCCTCCTAAGTAGCTGGGAATACAGGTGACCGCCACCACAGCTAGATTTTGTATTTTTAGTAGAGACGGGTTTCACCATATTGGCCAGACTGGTCTCGAACTGACTTCATGATCCAACCGCCTAGGCCTCCCAAAGTGTTGGAATTACAGGGGTGAGCCACTGCGCCTGGTCAATTTTATAAATTTTATGCCAAATTCTGACACCTTATAGTATGTGGCAGAGATAAGTATGAAATAGCTTGATCAATAAGTCATGTGAACATGAAAAACTTTTGGGCGAATTATTGAATTTATGAGGACTCTTTAAGTTTAAGCCAAATTTGTTGCCTGTGATCAAAAACACGTAAGAAAATATGCGTACATACACATAAACACACACATACACACTCGTACAAACAAAGATCCTGTAGCTTTTGCTTCAGAAATCTAGCCATGAGATATTGATACAGACTTTTAGGTTTGCAAAACAATAACAAAAATAATTGGATGCAAACAGTGGACTTTAACTTAGTGAACAAATATTTAGTGCAAAGCCCCTCATCTTAGTAATTGGGTGTCTGTGTGAAGGGCACAGCGAGCCTGATTCAGTGTCACCAGGGTGGCCACAGCTCCAGTTGCCACCTGAAATGTCCCATGGCTGAAATTGCCAATCTCTTCTGGCCAAAGCTGTGCTCCTATGCCTGTTGGGGACCCAGGTGCCAACCTTTGCAAGGACCACAGGCCATGCACCTCTTGCCTGGGCCCACGTCTGAGACCGGACTTAGGGTCCTGGGTGGGTCTGACGTGGGGGTCCTTAAAACACCCCATGGAATTTTTTTTTTGAGATGGAGTCTTGCTCTGTCACCAGGCTGGAGTACAGTGGCGCAATCTCAGCTCACTGCAACCTCTCCCTCCCGGGTTCAAGCAATTCTCCTGCCTCAGCCTCCTGAGTAGCTGGGACTACAGGTGCGCACCACCATGCCCAGATAATTTTTGTATTTTCAGTAGAGATGGGGTTTCACCATGTTGGCCAGGATGGTCTTGATCTCTTGACCTTGTGATCTGCCTTCCTTGGCCTCCCAAAGTGCTGGGATTACAGGTGTGAACCGAGGCGCCAGTCCAACACCCCTTGGAATTTTTAACATGCTTGGTGAGAGGCAATGGTACTGGGAACCCGTGGACCTGCACACAGGGGGTGCCTCCTGTGGTAGTACCCGGGGCCCTGCTGCCACCAGCAGACCCCTGGCCTGTCCTGCTGACTGCCAGCTTATGCTCCTCCACCACCACCGCCTCTGGTCTTCCCAGTCATTTCCAGTGCTCAGGGTTGCTCCTCCTCTGTCTCCTCAAGCCCTCAGCTCAGTGCTGCCCCTCCAACCTCACTGAGACCCTTGGTGGTTCCTTTCCATCCTCAGCTCCCTCGCAGACCCTGAGTAGTATCCAGCCACACTCAGTTCTCTCTCCTGGATGCTCTGTCCTCCCTTGGCCACTCAATACTACAGTATTTAAGTCCTATTCGTCATAGTCTTTGTTGGGGTATGATGATGAGTAAGAGCCATAGTTCACAGTGAAGTGGCCTGATTCAAATTAGGGTTAGGGTCTGGTTCTGGGTTAGGGCTTGGGGTGTTAAAATAAAAGCCTTAGACAAGTTCAATTTCACAGAGTTTAGTCGGGCAGAAAAAGGTTCATAAACTGGGTAGCACTCAGGACAAATGTGATTCAGAATCCTCCACCACACAAGGGGGTGCAAGCTATATTTACAGCCAGAAAAATATGACATACAGAGAGCCTTTGTTGGCTGCAGTCAGCATTTGCCTTATTTGGTCATGTTTTCGCAGCTTTCAGCCTGAGACTGGCTGCAGGAACCTTCAGCCAAGACTTGGCTCCTTGGCACAAGAATGTATACTCTTGGTTTATAGTTTGTGTTCACATTCAGTCATGTTACAGTTCACCATGTACAGAGGCAGCTTTATGCCCAACTTGATTTAACAATTAGCTACTTTGGAGAGGGAGCTTTGTGAGACCGACCAAAGGCATGAGCAGTGACACCACCTTCTGTCATCATCATGGTGAATTTTTTTGATCTCAGTACGGTATTCATAGTCCACGATGTCAAAATAATTACATGATTCTCATGTTTTCTTCAAGGTTTTGTTACTCCAATCATAATGAGACTAGTTGATGTACAAAGAATGTGCTGCATACTAGTATGTAAGACTTTTAAGTGAGTACAATACATTAGTGATGACATCATGCTGGTTATCAGAAGGATAATACCAAGAAACTTAAATGCGCCCCTTAACAGGAATTTCAGCAAAGAAAACATTAAAATCAAACAATTCAAAATTCAGGCAAAAGAGAGAGTACTACAGTATTCAAGTCCTATTGTTCATAGTCTTTGTTGGGGTATGATGATGATTACGAGCCATAGTTCACAGTGAAGTGGCCTGATTCAAAGAGGTATTCATGCTTTCAGTTGGTCTGTGTTTTACTCCATTTGTATTGTTATAAATAAATACTTGAGGCTGGGTAATTTATAAAGAAAGAGGTTTATTTGGCTCACAGTTCTGCAGGTTATACAAGCAACATGGTGCTCTGGCATCTGCTTCTAAGGAAGCCTCAGGAAACTTACAATCATGGCAGAAGACTAAGAGTGAGCTGGCCATCACATGGTGAGTGTGAGCAAGAGACAGACTAGGGAGATGCCAGCCTCTTTAAATAAACAGATCTTGGCCTGGTGCAGTGGCACACACCTGTAATCCCAGTGCTTTGGGAGGCCGAGGTGGACGGATCATGAGGTCAGGAGATCGAGAGCATCCTGGCTAACACGGTGAAACCCTGTCTATATTAAAAAACAAAAAAATTAGCCAGCGTGGTGGCAGGTGCTTGTAGTCCCAGCTACTCAGGAGGCTGAGGCAGGAGAATGGCATAAACCTGGCAGGTGGAGCTTGTGGTGAGCCAAGATCGCACCACTCTACTCCCTCCTGGGTGACAGAATGAGACTGTCTCAAAAAAAAAAAAAAAAAAAAAAAAAAAAAAAAAAAAAAACAGATATTATGTGAACTCAGAGTAAGAACCTGCTCGTGACCATGAGGACAGCACCAAGCATCCATGAGGGATATGTCCCCGTGAACAAAATACCTTCCAGTGGGCCCACCTCCAACATTGGAGGCCATATTTCAATGAGAGATTTGGACGGGAGAAAACATCCAAAACATATCAGTGGGATAAGACAAGTCATAGTAACCTGGACTAAATGAAACAAAAATCAGAAAACCTTGGAATAGTCAAGTCCAAAACTGGACTAAATGAAACATAAAAATTAGAAAACCTTGGAATGATGCCAACCATCTTTCAGGGAGTCTACAAATCAGCCACATGCTGCTCCCATAAGCACGTCATGTGTTTCTTTCCCCTGAGAAATTACCTTAATGTATTCAATGGCAGTGTTTAGAGAAACGTATTACTGGCCACCATTTAAACTATGTTCTCCATAGTAGTAAAATCAGGGGAAAGAGAAGTGGAACATTCAGTTTTGTTCAGCACCACACACAAGCCCCCAGCATGGACAAAGTGATGATTGAAAGCCGTGTCATGTTCCACCAAGTGTTTTTGTTGGACACAAACGTTCTCATCCACCAGTTGAAGGGTGACCTCTATCTTTCTAAATCCCAGTGAAGTCTGACTATCCTCCAAATCCAAAATTTTTCAACTTACAGATTAGCTTCAAATTCCACACAACTGGCACCCCACTACCACCAAGTCTGAGGCCCCAAGAACCCCACTGGAAACTTGTCTCAGTGGAAACTAACTCATCTTCATCTATTTCAAAGTTGGTACTGATTTCCGTTATTGACTGCTTTGACCTCTGATTGTGGGAAATATTATGGGAACTTTTAAGGAAAGCTATTTGGAAGGCAGGACTGAGCCAGGTTAAATAACAACGTCCAAACCAGCAAGGAGGCAGAAGGAAGCAAATTCTCTGCGGACCCAGGAGATACCCTGGGAGCTGGAAAAGGGGTCACCTCATGGCACGTGAACCGAGCTCAGTTGCATTGGCTTATCCCTAAGTCTGCCTAGCTCCTGATCAAGTTGCAGGGGGAAACTTACTCTTATGTGGTCCACTTACAGTTGTGCAACCTACAATGTGCTCTAGATGGAGCAGCTGTAAGATGTCAGAGCTAGCAACAGCCTAGTCCCTGAGGCACTCTGGAATACCACTCACCCAGCTGCATCTGTTGAGTACCAAATGCCCCTCACCGACCTGCATCTGTGGAGTACAACATGTCCCTCACCCACCTGCATCTGCAGAGTACCACATGTCCCTCACCGACCTGCATAGGAAGGTGCATGAGAAATAAGTTCTCTTCTGAAAATTAGCGAAAATTTCAAAAACTATACAAAACAAAAATACGCATTCACAGTCTCTGGAAATGGTCCCAAGAGCATAGAGCAAATAAAGTTTTACTCACATGCAGGAACTCAAGGAACTTCAAATTAAACAAACACAAAGAGATCCACAGACACATCATAGTAATGATGCCAAAAGCTAAAGAAACATAGGAAACGCTGAAAGCAGAAAGTGAGATAAAGAAAGAGGAGCCATTGAGCTTAAAAGGGATCCTCTAAAACTGTTATAAGCAGGAGGAATCCCAAGGAGACTAACAGCTGATTTTTCACCAGAAACAATAGAGGCCAGGAAGAAGGGGAATAACATATAAAATGTCTGAAGAAAAAATCCTGTATTCACCATGGCTATGGTTAAAAACTGAGGGTGAAACAAAGACATACCTAGATTAACAAAACTGAGATAATTCATTGCTACCAGACCTATCTTACAAGAAATATTAAAAGAAGTTGTTCAGGCTGAAAATGATTACCCCAGACAATAATCCAAATTTACACACACACACACACACACACACACACGCATCAGTAAAGGTAAATATGAAACTCTAAAACTAATATATTTTATATTATGAAAATAATAAACGGCAGTATAAATGCACATTTTTCTATTTTTTCTCTTGATTTGGAAAGCAATTTATAAAACAATGTCTATTCAATGTATCGTTTGTCCTGTGACATACAAAATTTAATATGTTTGCCAATAACAGTCTAACCGAGGTGAGTGGGAACAAAGCTGTATTGGATTAAGACCGCAACTCCATATATCAGACTACAGACAACTCAAATCTATAAAAACAAATGAAGAGAATAATAAATGATAAATAAGAAGTAACTTAAAATTTTAAATATTTCTGTGCTTTACTTTTTCCTCTTAGCTTCTTAAAAGACATGGTTATATGATGTAATAATTATAACGATGTATTGTTGAGTTTTTAGTATTTATAGATGTAATACAAATAAGAATAATACCTTAAAAAGTTACAATAAGAAGGGTGTAGAACTACGTAGGGTACAAAGCTATGTGCAGAAGGGTGTGGAGCAAGGTAGCGGTAATGTTTTTGTGTCTAACTGAAACTATTCTGAATTAGCATGAATCTGAAGCTGATTCTGATAGGTTAAGATTTACAGTGTAATCCCAAGAACGCTGACTAGGATAATAAGCCAAAAACAGAGTATTAAAATCATTAAAGAAATGTAATTGTCATTTTAGAAAATATTCACTGTTGCTGGGCGTGGTGGCTCATGCCTGCAATCCCAGCACTTTGGGAGGCCAAGGCGGGTGGATCATGAGGTCAAGAGATCAAGAGCATCCTGGTCAACATGGTGAAACCCCGTCTCTACTAAAAATACAAAAATTAGCTGGGCATGGTGGCGGGTGCCTGTAGTCCCAGGTACTCAGGAGGCTGAGGCAGGAGAATGACTTGAACCTGGGAGGCGGAGTTTGCAGTGAGCCAAGATCGCACCACTGCACTCCAGCCTGGGCGACAGAGAGAGACTCTGTCTCAAAAAAAAAAAAAAAAAAAGAAAAAGAAAGAATATATTCACTGTTTGCAAAAGGAAGCAGAAAACAGGAACTAGAGAATTAAAAGTACATATAAGGAATACAAAACAAAAATTAAATGTCTGATATGAATATAATTATATCAATAATAATATTAAATATGACTTGATTAAACAACGTAATCAAAAGTTAATTCTTGTCAGACAATAAAAAATAAGATCTTCTATGCCATCTACATTTTAGATTCAAAGATATGAATAGAGTAAAAGGATGGAAATACATATATCATGCAAACAGTAACCCTGAGAAAGCTATTCTAAAGTAGCTATACTAATATCAGACACAATGAATTTTAAAACAAACAAACAAAAAAAATCGGCCAGGTGAGGTGGCTTATGCCTGCAATCCCAGGACTTTAGGAGGCCAAGGTGGGCAGATCACCTGAGGTTAGGAATTCAGGACCAGCCTGGCCAACATGGTGGAACCCCGTCTCTACTAAAAATACAAAATCTAGCGGGTTGTGATGATATGTACCTGTAGTCTCAGCTACTCAGGAGGCTGAGGCAGGAGAATCGCTTGAAACAAAAAGGCGTAGGTTGCAGTGAGCTGAGATCACGTCATTGCATTCCAGCCTGGGTGACAAGAGAGAAACTCTGTCTAAAAAAAAAAAAAAAAATTTTAGAGATAATGTGGGACATTTTACAATAACAAAATGGCCAATCCATCAGTAAGAAAGTACAAGTATAAACATATATGCACCCAATTAAACATCACCAAAGTACATGAAACAAAAACTGACAGAAATGACAGCCAAAATAGATGATGACTGGAGACTTCAATATGGCACTTTGACTAATGGATAGAAAGACTACCCAGTAGAGCAAAAAGGAAAAAGAAGATTCAAACAACTTCATAGTTCAACTAGACCTGAAAAACACGTGCAAAACATTCCACACAAGAGAAGCTACATTCTTCTCAAGGGCTCATCAACATTGTCCATCATAGACTCTACACTAGGCCATTAAAGGAACTGAACAGCATGTACTCCAATCACAATAGAGTGAACCTAGAAATTAATAACAAGAAAGTAGGGAAACTGAAATATGTTGAAATTAAACCACACACATCCAAATTACTAATCAAAGAAGAAATCCAAACAGAAATTTGAAAATATACTTAGAGGAATGAAAATGAAGTCACAACATACAAAACTTAATGAAAGACAATTAAAGACATGCTTGCAGGGAAATTTATTGCTGTAAATATAGATAATAAAAAAGAGAACTATTTCAAATCAATAACATAACTTTTGACATAAGGACACTGGAAAAAGAAGAGCAAATGGAAGCTAAAGTAAGCGGAAGGAAGGAAATAATAAAGATCATAGCAGAAACCAATGAAACAGAGAATAGAAAAGCAACAGAGAAAAACAATGAAACTAAAAGCACATTCAAACAAGCTTAACACAATTGACAAACCTTATTGTCATGAAAATGTATTTTGGGTATACTACCAAGAAGTAGTGAGTTGTGCGACACAGGAACTGGAGGACCAAGATAACTGCTGTTGCTAGGATCATCCCCCTGCTTCCCCTCACCTAAAAATGTTGACCAGATTGTAGGAAACCGAAACAATTCCTTTAAGTAGAAAGTAAATAAATTAAGAGAGCAATTTAAATGGCTTTTTTTCTTTTTTCCCTTTTTATTTTCATGATGTAAAAGGTTAGACAGGAATGCACTGCAAATGTGGAGATCTGCGTCATCTTTCTGCTGCCCAAGGCTATCCCAGTAAGTTCCTCCTGAGTAAATCTTTGACTATCTACCAGCCTGGAATGGTCTATCTCTTTCTTTGGTCTGAGAGCTTCCTCTCCATTATGTAGGACAGCTCAGTTCCGGCAGGGAGTTTTCCTAACATTTTTCTAGACTGACTAAGAAAAATAGAAGACTCAAGTAACTAAAATCAGAAATGAAAGAGGATATATTACTACCAGCATTGCAAAAAGAAAAGAACATTTAAGGAAAAATAATATGAACAATCGTATGCCAAAATATTAGATAATTTAGATACAATGGAAAAATTCCTAGACACAAACCAGTGACACTGATGCAATAAAAAATGCTCTCACTAGACATGATAAGCAAAGAGATTGAATTACTAATAAAGAAACACTCCACACCAAGAAAAGCCCTAGCCCTGGAAGTTCGGCTTACTTTAGCTTCCATTTGCTCTTCTTTTTCCAGTGTCCTTATGTCAAAAGTTATGTTATTGATTTGAAATAGTTCTCTTTTTTATTATCTATATTTACAGCAATAAATGTCCCTGGTGAAATCACTGGTGAATTTTGTCCAATATTTGAAGAAGATTTAGGATCAATTCTTTCCAAACTCTCCAAAAGATAAAAGTGGTAGAGATATGTCTCAACTCATTCTATGAGGCCAGTATTACCATGATAGCAAAGCCATACAAAGACATCAAGAGGAAAGAAAAATTCAGACCAATATATCTTATGAATACAGATCAAAACTCTTCAATAAAATACAAGCAAACAGAGAGGCTGGGAGTGGCGGCCCACGCCTGTTATCCCAGCACCTTGGGAGGCCGAGGTGGGGGGATCACGAGGTCAGGAGATCAAGACCATCCTGGCTAACATGGTGAAACCCCGTCTCTACTAAAAATACAAAAAATTAGCCGGGCGTGGTGGTGGGCACCTGTAGTCCCAGCTACTTGGGAGGTTGAGGCAGGAGGGAGAATGGTGTGAACCCAGGAGGCAGAGCTTGCAGTGAGCTGAGATTGTGCCACTGCATCCCAGCCTGGGTGACAGAGTGAGACTCCATCTCAAAAAATAATAATAAAAATAAAAAATAAATGCATAATATACAAGCAAACAGAATACAGCAACATGTAAAAATAATTCTACCTCATGACCAAGTTGGATTCATCCCAAGTATACAAGTTTGGATAGCAGCCAAAAATTATTTAATGTAATACACCATACCAATACAATAAGCAAGACCACAGTCATCTCAATAGTTGCAGATACAAAATCCAACATCCTTTCATGATGAAATATTCAACAGAGAAGGAAAGAAGGGAACATTTTTAAACTAATAAAGAGCATATTTAAAACCACAGCCAATAGCATACTTAATATTGGAAGCCTGTATACTTATATCCTGAGATCAGGAACAAGATAGATAAATCCACTCTCACTACATCCTTTCATCATTATGCTGGAGGTGCTAGCCAGGACAATTTGGCAACAGAAATAAATGCAAGCCATCTAGATTAGAAAAGAAGTAGGCCAGGCATGGTGTCACAAGCCTGTAATCCTAGCATTTTGGGAGTCCAATGTGGGTGGATCCTTTGAGGTCAGGCGTTCAAGGCCAGCCTGGCCAACATGAAGAGAACCCGTCTCTACCAAAATCACAAAAATTAGCCAGGTGTGATGGTGCACTCCTGTAAACCCAGCTACTTGGGAGGCTGAGGCACAAGAATCACTTGAACCCAGGAGGCGGAGGTTGCAGTGAGCTGAGATTGCACCACTGTGCTCCAGCCTGGGCAACAGAGCCAGACTCCATCACAAAAAAAAAAAAAAAAAAAAAAATCTGAGCCAGTGCATACCTTAAATAAACAATCCTCCTGTTCTCCATATCAGTCTCTCTAGTCCTCAGTTTCCCGCAACATTTTTGGCAACCATGAAGGGACCGGAGACAGCAAGTTCACTGTCTCCTTTGCCTCTAGGGGCTACAGCCCCAGGCCTCAGGAGACCTGTGACCCCAGGCGCCACCAGGAGGACTTCAGCCTAGAGAGCAGATCGGCTTTCGCGTGACCCGGTGCCCCTACCCAGCAGCGCAACAGAACCTAAAGAAAGGCTACAGGATGATTCCAGAAACAGTGCGCTTCAAGAACTGTAGCAAAGTTTTAAGGCCCAAGGCAGGACCCGTCCCATAAGGATGGAAAAGGAGCCTGACCACCTCCCGAGGTGTGCCTAATAGTACAACCCAGAGAGGCTAAAGGCGGTGAGAAAGGCTCACCAATTCAGAAGAAACTCACACCCCAACTGACACAAGATGTGAGACTGGCTTGCTAAGTCGGTTAAGAAAAAGAAACTAGAGACGCCGAGAGTGGCTTGCCACCCCACTTAGGTACACAGGAACTAGGAGTAGAGACGTGTGTGAATGCAAAGGCCTAATTAAGCTCATCAGCCGCGAAGTAAGGAGTCACAGATCTCTTAGAGTGGACTGTGTGCTCCAAGCAAAGTGTAAGGCCGACTACGAACAGTAGCGATCTGCATACAGCTAATAAGAACTACCCTATAGCTCAGAGTTGTAGCAGGAATAAGGAACTCTCCAAAGCCAAGCAGCCTCTGAAAACTCCCATAATAGGAGACGGTGTGGAAGGTCAAAATGAGAGGAAAGAGTGTGCTGTGCCGTAAAAGAAAGAATAGGAAGAAAGTCATCAAACTTACCCCGTTAGAGTGCATGTTACAGAACTTTAAGAAAGGTTTTGCAGAGGATTAGGGAGTTAAGCTAATCCCACAGAGGTGGAAAACTCTCTGTAATTAGAATGGCCTTCTTTTAGTGTTAGATGGCCGACCAAAGGAACTATAGATAAGGAAATAATTGGCTGTATATTTAAGGTGGTGACAAGAGTCAGAGGACAGCTAAGGCATCCAGATCAATTTCCTTATATTGATTCATGGTTAAATATAGCAGATAAGACCGGCCTGGATCCAGCCATGTGCAGCAGCTTATCGCGAAACATATGTAGCCTGAGCTCAGCCAAGAGTGAAAGTAAGAGCAGCTTCACTGGCAGACACAGAGTTAAAGAATTCCCAAAGAGAGCAAGAAAAGTCAGTTTTGCAGGAGCTGCCAGAAAGAACAGAGATTCTTCCTCCATATGTCCCAGCCCATCCGCCTTTACCAAGTCCAACAGCCCCACAGGAGCCAGACTCAAGAGCCAGCATGCCCCAAGTTTCACCACGAAGGGGAGGATCAGAGTGTTGAGAGGCCAGGGAATGAAGTCAAGATAGTCTAGCAGGCTGTCTCAGATCTGGCAGTGCTCAAGCTCTGCAAATGCCTCTCTAGGAGACACGAGGACCCATTTATTATGATGACCAAGGCCAAGTCCAAAGAAGGCAATGGACTTTCATCAGTCAGCCCTTTTCAACCACTGATCTTTTAAACTGGAAACACCATACTCCCTCCTACACAGAGAAGCCTCAAGGTCTTATAGATCTGTTGCAATCCATCTTTCTGACACACAATCCAACTGACCAGACTGCCAGCAGCTCCTTCTCACGTTATTTAACACTGAGGAGTGCCTGGGAGTAACCTAGGCAGCTCTCCGCTGGCTAGAAACCCAGGCATCAGCAGATGCAGTGCATGCTCAGGCATACACCCAAGGTCAGTTTCCAGATTCTGGCTAGAAGCCCAGGCATCAGCAGACGCAGTGCATGCTCTGGCATGATGCAGACAGAGTGCATGCTCAGGCATACACTCAAGGTCAGTTTCCAGACGCTGCATAGAAGCCCAGGCATCAGCAGACACAGCGCATGCTCAGGCACACACTCAAGGTCGGTTCCCGACCTAGATCCTAACTAGGACCCAGAGGATGCAACTCAGCTTCAGTGTTTGCAGAGGTACCAAGAGGCACTTCTGCAAAGACTGAGATGGTGGAAAGAAAGCCATTAATATAAAGAAGATTTCAGAAGTGCTTCAAGGAAGTGATGAAAGCCCTAGGCAGTTTTATGAAAGATTCTGTGAGGCATACTGGCTTTCACCCCGTTTGACCCTGAGGCCACTGAAAATCAGTGTATAATGAATATGTCATTTGTAGGACAGGCCCAAGGTGATATCAAATGAAATCTTCAGAAGTTAGAAAGTTTTGGCCGGGTGCGGTGGCTCACACCTGTAATCCCAGCACTTTGGGAGGCCAAGGTGGGTGGATCACGAGGTCAGCAGTTCAAGATCAGCATGGCCATGATGGTGAAATCCCATCTCTACTAAAAATACAAAAAATTAGCTGGCAGTGGTGATAGGCACCTGTAATCCCAGCTACTTGGGAGGCAGAGGCAGAGAATTGCTTGAACCCAGGAGGCAGAGGTTGCAGTGAGCCAAGATCGTACTACTGCACTCCAGCCTGGGAGAAAGAGTGAAACTCCGTCTGAAAAAAAAAAAAAAAAAAAAAAGAAGAAGAAGTTAGAAAGTTTTTCAGGTATGAATGACACCCAGATTGTAGAAGTAGCCACCAAAGTGTTGTTAACCGTGACCAGAAATCAAAGAAAGGAGCAGACTGGAGGCTTAAGATCTGTTGGCAGCAGCCTTTATAGAAAAAGAGATTAGCAATGTAAGATGACGTGGACACAGGTGTGGACATAGAATAAGTCAAGTTAGATAAGTATTTCAAAGTTGCCCAAGGCTAGAGAAGGATCAGTGTGCAAGATGCAAAAAGAAAGGACACTATAAAGATGAATGTCCAGAAGGCAATGAAAGAAATGGCCAAGGCCGCAAGACAAAGAGGCCATTGGCCAAAGGCTGCCGCACCTTGGAGGAACCAGATACTGATCTGATCAGGCTAGCAGGAGCTGAAAGATGTGAGGACTAAAACAGACCACGCTTCTTCTTATTAGGCCTCCAAAAGCCCATCGTCACATTAGAAGTTTAAAGCAGCAAGATTCTGCTGTATCTAGATTATAAATTTCTCACTGATGGCTAAGCCATTATATGAAGGTACAAAAGAAAAAGAGACAGAGAGAGAGAGAAAAAAAAAAAAAACCTCTCCTCTAAGAAATGGAACAGGAGAAGGAGCCATGCCTTCGTGCCTTGTGAAAACTTGCTTATAGACTTTACCAAAATGCCCCGTGCCAGAGGCTATCCGTTTATGCTAGTGTTTATTTGCACTTTTTCAGGATAGGTTGAGGCATTCCCCACCAAGACAGAAAAGCACGAGAAATGACTAAAGTACTACTAAAAGACATTATCCCTAGGTTTTGACAGCCTGTAACTTTAAAGTCAGACAATAGGCCAGCATTTGTAGCTGAAAGAGTGCAAGATTTAACAAGAATGTTAAAAATAAAATAGAAGTTATACACAGCCTGTCGGCTGCAAAGTTCAAGAAAAGTAGAACGCATGAACCAGACACTCAAGCAGTTACTGAAGAAACATTGCCCAGAGACTTATCATGAGAGGTCAAAGGAAGGTCCCCTCTTAAACCAAACCAGGGTCCCTCCCTTTAACCAAGGGCCTATTTATCTGTATTTTGATGCTTGTCAGGCAGCAGACCAAGACTCCCTTGTCTGTGGTAACCTACCTTTAGAAAGATACTATAGAAAATGACTACAAATATGTATGCATGCCAAGAGTAACTCTATCTTCTTCCCCTAGGACCCCAGAAAAAGATTTTTGGCCTTGCATGTCGTAGCACCCTAGCACACAACAAAGGTCAATTATGCTTTTACCAAAATGCTGTTGAAACCAGATTGTGAAGCAAAAACCTGTAATCCTGTAAATTTCACCCTTCTAAAGCCAGACTTACCCATGTAGACTGCATGTTACCCCATTCATTTGTATATGCATACATACCCAGCAATCCTCCTATATGTTATCAAACAAAGAACCCAGACCCATCCAGCCCAGCAACAGTTCCAAATCTTTAAGTCATTCTATAAGCATGTAGACCAGAAGTTACCAGAGCCTACTCCTTTAGCCAAAAACCTGTTTGCTCAGCTGGCTGAACACACTGCCGGCAGCATGGGCGTTTCATGTTATGTTTCTAGAAAGACTAACGTAGTAGACCAATGGCCTTAGGAAGCAAAACAGTTAATGCCACAAAATAATTTGACTCTAATAGACCCTTCCTCCGAACCGATGCCCACAAGTCCAAGCGTCTGACTCTTAAAAACTTCTATTATCAGGAGATACTGTGTTGCTCCCTGAAGAAACGCTTTTACAGACGCAGTAGGAGAACTAACCTTCTTAGGACAGCAATATTATAATGAAACACTAAAGAAAACTTTGTGGCGAGGCAGAGATGACTCCAAAGCACCTCAACCAAATCCGTTCTCCTGTTTCTCTCCTCTAAACCACACCTAGTATCAGCTTGAAGCTCGAAATACTTGGCAAGCGCCCCTTGGTCTTTATTGGCATCTGTAAGCCACAGGCATATCGACAGTTGCCAGCTAAATGGACAAAGTCCTGTGTGTTTGAAACAATTAGACCATCTTTCCTCCTACTCCCACTGCAACAGGGAGAAACTTTAAGGTATCCCGTCTATGATGAAGTTAGAAGAAGAAGCAAAAGAGATGCAGACATAAAAAGAGATACAGAAATAGG
Source organism: Homo sapiens (assembly GCF_000001405.40). Taxonomy (NCBI): domain Eukaryota; kingdom Metazoa; phylum Chordata; class Mammalia; order Primates; family Hominidae; genus Homo; species Homo sapiens. The sequence goes on from NT_167218.1 coordinate 100,612, forward strand.
AAATTAGAAAGACACAGATTACCCCCCTAAAAGAATAATTCAATACTATAGGCCAGCTACCTAGGCACAAGATAGGTCATGAGGGTACCGCACTCCTATTTACATGCTTAGCCATATCATAAGGTTGAAGGCAGTACTTGAAATGATCACTAATGAAACAGCAAAAGCATTAGATTTACTGGCCCAGCAAGCCACAAAAATGAAGAATGTTATTTATCACAACAGATTAGCTTTATACTATTAGCTAGGAAGCCCAGGAAGGAGGAGAATGTGGAAGGTTCAATCTAACTAATTTCTGCCTGGAAATCGATGACAATGGAAAGGCAATTATAGAAATAACTGCAAGAATGAGAAAATTACCCCATGTTCCAGTTCAAACTTGGAAAAGTTAGTCTCCAGATTCCCTCTTTGGAGGCTGGTTTTCCTCCTTCAGTGGATTCAAGACTTCAATAAGAATAGTCCTGGCCATACTAAGAGTTTGCCCAGTACTCCCTTCCCTCTTACCCCTCCTTGTTAGAAGCATTCAATCAACTATAGAGGCAAAAGCAGCTAAGCAAACTACCACTCAGCTAATGGATCTATATAAATATCAGCCTGTGCCTAAAGAAGAAAACTTGTCTCTTCAGGCAGAATTAAGTAATAGTGATGCCTTCTATTAAACTTCTTTTATAAAAGACATCAAAAGGAGGAAACTGAGGCAGAAATTTAAAAATAAATAAGCATTCATTCACTCCAAGAAAAGTAACAGGCAAGGCAAAGGTTAAAAAGAAAAGAACAAGTTTTCCTCTGCCTAGTAAGCTCACTTCAAAGACAGTTATAACACTGTTTGAGAAGCCAAGGCCAAAGGAATAGGCTCCAGACAACTCCCACTTCCAGAGCAAAGTGAAAAGAAAAAAAACAAGAAAGAAAGACAAATTCCTTTACTGTTACTCCTTTCCCTGGCTTCTTAAGCATGATGATGTTTTACAAATTTCTGTATTTAGCCAGTTCTTATTTTTCTTTTGATGCAGCTACAAGGCCACTAGCCATGCAAGGCCACAAGTTATGCCAAGTCAACAGTTATGCTATAGATTACGTGACCTGTCACTGTAGGATTAACTGCTTTTGTTTTGCTTCTGTAAGTTTGCTTAGAAAAGCCCTGCTCAGTCTTTGTTCAGTGCTCATATTTTTAGATATGAATCCACGAATCCAGTGAGTACCCTAAAATAAACAATCATCCTGTTCTCCATATCGGTCTCTCTAGTCTCTCTAGTCCTCTATTTCATATTGGTCTCTCTATTCTCTTTAGTCCTCTAGTCCAGCATTTTTGAAGGCTAAGGTGGGCAGATCACTTGAGGCCACGAATTCGAGACCAGTCTAGCCTACATGGGGATTCCCCATCTCTATTAAAAATACAAAAATTAGCCGAGCATGGTGGCGCATGCCTGTAGTCCCAGCTCCTCTGGAGGCTGAGGCAGGAGGATTGCTTGAACTTGGGAGGCGGAGGCTGCAGTGAGCTGAGATCCCGTCACTGCACTCCAGCCTGGGAGACAGAGGGAGAATCCGTTAAAAAAGGAAAAAAAAAGTTTTTTTCTGTGACAGCAACACTTAGAACTAAAAAAAAAAAAAAAAAGTAAGATTACTTGCTAATATAATTGACTAGTTGGCCGGCATTCGAATTTTCCCAATATTTGCACAGTGTGCCTAGTTGTCAAGCCAGGATTTAATAACCAGATTACACGTCTGCCAGGCGGACAGACACCAATCCCTATCCATCCTCGTCTCCCGCTTGGAACAGAATTTCCCGCCTCAATACTGCAATGTCTAGTGGGAAATGCAGTCTCGGCTTCCAATCACGTCACCAGCACAGGACGGTGGGAAGGGCTCTTTGCTCAAACGCCGCCCCGCCCACTCCCGCCATCTTCCGTCAGAGAATCCCGGCTCCTGCTGCAATAAGAGGCTGTTCTGGAAGCTCTGGGGTTCGGGTCTTTGTCCCTGCAGGTTGGTGGTGGGATGAAACAGGAGACAGCGGGCTTGGAGGCACCACTGGGAGGCGGGACCGACGTGCCACAGTTGGTGGGAGCAGAGGCGTGGGCACATATTGAGGGGGCGGGGCCTGACGCACAGGTGCGGGCCGCGGACCCCGGCTGGGGCTGAAAGGGCGGCGCTGCTGGGAGGGCGGGCGTGGAATCCCCGCACTGAAGCCAGTTCCAGAGGCGCCAAAGCGGCTGGGCGAAGCCGGTGGCGCGGGAAAGGGGTCTGCAGACCGCCCGAGCCTGGGAGGTCTGCGGGGAGGCTGCGCTCCGGCACTGCATGGACCTTGTGCAGCATTCCGTGCACGCCATTGTAAGATCAGCATATGGACAGTTCTAGGGAGATGCCCCTCATTCCCAGAAGAGGACTACGAAATGCGTGCACACCGTCCTACTGCCTGGCGAGTGTATTAGTAGGGTTTCCCGGTGTCTTTCAGCAAGTGAAGATTCTCCTTGTGTCCCATTCCTACTCATCCCATCCATGTTTTAGTTTATAGGAGTTTATAAAAGATCTGGTTTCTAGGGAAGTTGGGGATCCAGATGATGGTCCTGTTTTCTGTGTAATAAGGTAAGTACAAAGTTTGGAAGAGGGCGCCTTTTAGGAATCCCACCTGAAAGAACCCCTCTTTGGACAAACCTTCTCACTGGTACTTCAAAGCAGAGGAAGCGTCACAGGTGAAGATTCCAGTTTGTATGACCCAAGCAGTTATTTTCCCACTCCCCAGAGTGGCCAAGATTTGGTTGATAAGACCTTATCCAGTAGCTCTCAAACACTGGGTGGTAGCGGAAGGTTTGGACCAACATTCAGAAGGAAGAGGGGAGTTTGGCTGCGAATGCAGGCAAGGGCCAAAGAGATGTGACTTATTGGAGGGGACTTAATAGTGTGGTCTTCGGTGGAAAAATAACCTGTTACTCCTGAGAGGATCTGTCTGGAGTACTCTGTAAAGACACTTTCATTCCTTCAATCTTTTCTCATTGTTTCTAGTGGCTGAACTTTCTTAAAAGTAGTGTAGGCCAAGACGGGAGGATCACCTGAGGTTAGGAGTTTGACACCAGCCTGGCCAACATATAGTGAAACCTTGTCTCTACTAAAAAATACAGAAATTAGCTGGGCATAGTGGTGCACACCTGTATAGTCCCAGCTACTTGGGAAACTGAGGCAAGAGAATCACTTGTACTGGGCAGGTGGAGGTTGCAGTGAGCCGAGATTGTGCCACCCTACTCTAGCCTGGGCAACAGAGCGAGACTCTGTCTCTCAAAAAAAAAAAAAAAAAAAGGAAAAGAAAAAAAAGCTTGTCACCAAATGTAGCATCCAGTCACGAAATTTAGCATCTAGTGATATGCCAAAGCTCCCTCTATCCTGGTAGCTCTTCCTGGTAGTTCAGTAAGCGTTTGCCAAACTATTTCTACCTTATGAGAAAGATGAAAAAAATTTGGCTTTGAGGAGCTGGGACTTGCCAGGGTCACATGATATACAGATGTTATGCATCCTGACTTTTTGGCTAGTGTTACTCATTTTGCCCCAGTTAAGTCAAAACTTTTTTTTCCTTTTTTTTTTTTTTAGATTTTTGTTGACACTGAAGTCAACTAAGAACAAACATTGCTTTAAAATACTTTCTCAGCCGCTCACTGCCTGACCAAACCCTCCCACTGGAAAAAATAATAATAAAGTACTTTCCCTTGCCGGGTGCAGTGTCTCACAGCCATAATCATAGCATTTTGGGAGGCCAAGACAGGAGGATCGCTTGCACCCAGGAGTTTGAGACTAGTCTTGGCCACATAGGGAGACCCTATGTGTTTACAAAAAAAAAAAAAAAAAATTTAGCTGGTCGTGGTGGCATGCACCTGTGGATCTAACTACTTGGGGGGCTGAGGTGGGAAGATCACTTGAGCCCAGGAGGGCGAAGTTACAGTGAGCTATGGTTGTGCCACTGCACTCCAGCCTGGGTGACAGAATGAGACTCTGTCTCAAACCAACCAACCAAGCAGAAACATTTCCTTAACCATCTCTGTTCCTTTTTATACCCAACTCTTTCTGTGAATTATGTGACCTCAAGGACAAATGACACAAGTGTTTACCGCTCAGTGTCAGTAATCTGTTCTTGGAAATTATAAATTCTGTAGGAAAACAATAGAGTATTTTACATATTTAAAAAGGGAAGATTAGACAGTGTCTCACTTCTATTCCAACCAGTATCTTAAAACTTAAGTAAAATACAGTACAATGCTCACTTGTAAGAGATCCTTTTTTTGCATTTTTTTAAAGTCAACAGACATTTTTATGATGTAAAGAACCTTAAAACACAGTTTACTAATATGCAAAGAGTTGCTTTTTATGATTCACATGGTATCTTAGCACTAGCAGTCTCACTGATTTCCATCAAGTTGGCATTTATTGTGATTTACAAAACTTCTACATGAGGTTGTGACGTTCTAGTGATTGTATTTGACAAGTAACTTCACATTATCTCCTTCACATGATTTTCTTAAAAACATTAAGTTCTGGTGGCTTAGGTGTATCAGTTACTGTTTTCTGTGTAAAGAACCAACGAAACTCAATGGCTTAAAAAGAAGTTCTGTTGATTCACATTTTGGTGTGTGTTCACCTGGGCATTTCCTTTGCTAATGTTGTCTGGATCACAAATGAGGCTTTGGTCATCTGGTGCCTTCACTCGCATGTCTGGTGGTTCATGCTGACACTTGTTCAAGAAGGCAAGCACCAGTGGGCAAGTACTTTTCCAACCTACATTTTCATCATATTTTCTATGTCCCATTGGCCAAAGCAAGTCAAATGACAGAGCCCCATTTGTTATCAGAGCACACTCTATGAGGTCTTAGATACAGGGAGACTTGTCACTAGGAAACATTACTAAAACAGTATATCCCAAGAAATATACAATATGTACATTTTTCCCCCTATATAATTGTAGGCAAAAAATGTTGGGTTGCAAGATACATCCTTTCAATGATGCTTAGGTATATAAAAGATGCATCCTTTCAATGATGCATAGGTATAAAAGCAAGATGTGTTCTAGTGGAAACACCTATATGGAATCATGTAGAATCTCCATATTAGTAGTGAAATAGTTAATGCAGCTGAATTATATTTCTATAATATTAATTTCATTGAAGACTAAATGTATATTTCTTTGTTTTAAATTATTACATTGTTTTTTGGATAAATTAATTGTCCCTAAATCAGTAGGTAATACATGCTTTCATTAATCCCAAAATAAATTGTATGTATCTCTACTAGTTAATATACTTGTGGGTACATCTTCAGTGGGATATTTGTTGTCCCTTATTGAGGCATGAATGACTATTCTGTCACAGGGAGGTTTTTTTGTTGTTTTAGTCTTTTCCAGCTATTGTGTAGAACATTTTGGGCAGGAGAATCTAGGACCAAGCCACATCAGTTCTCTCCTTAACCCACTCCATTCGACTGTTATCACAGCTATGCTTCCAGAGTGCTCTGTGCATTTTCACGATCAGCAAACAATGAATAAATCTCTGGTGAGTCATTTGTTTATATATTCCTCACTTTGTTTTACATTGTATTTTTTGCCTTTATGGAGTCCATGGATTAAAATGAAAAGATAGAAATAAGTAAAATTCAGGTTAAAGGAAATACACATTAATAAAATAATGCTGGCATGTAGACATATGCAGGTTATAAGCTATAGAACTTGAGTACAAATGTGTCTCTGGTCTTTCCGATGCTGCAACAAAGAGGCAGTCACATTTGTTACATGATTGGAATGGAACCTGGAAAGAGTGTATGTTCCATTCTCATGGGACAGGAAGACTTGCTGTCACCAAAGTCTGGAACACTGACTGCATTGGTCACAGAGATGATGTAGTGAAAAGGTTTTTTTACTGCCAACCTGGAAGTAAACACTTTTAGCATTTTGCAGTATAAATAGTCACTTAGTGCTAAAGCATAACTCCTGTAATGAGGTTTTTCTGGTTGCTGAAACAGTGTGGTCCCAGACAGATTTTGGAAGGCCCTACTTGATTCATGGCTAAATCCTAGAACATCTGGAGGATTGAGTTGACCACAGGTCCTTAACTAACCCCCCATACATTTCTGTCAATTCATCTGTACATGGAGAATTTGTAGCAGATTGTTCACAATTGTATTCTCTGACAAATATTTCCACTGCTCACTTGCACTTTCATTCAATGTAGTCTTAATTGGTTTATTCTAATGCTACCCATTAACCCAAATTATATGCAACTCCAATGGCTATACGCTAGTCTGCCTTACTTGAATCTTGTGCCGTACAGTAATCCCCTTTATCCACAGTTTTGCTTTCTGTTGTTTCAGTTCCCTGTAGTCAACTGCAGACAGAAAAGACAATAAGATATTTTGAATATCTTGAATATTTTGATATTTTGAATATGTTGAATACAGTAGAAGAAGATATTTTGAGACACCACATTCCTATAACTTTTAGTATAGTATGTTGACCTAATTGTTCCATTTTATTGTCGGTAATATCATACTGTGCCTAATTTATAAATTAAACTGTCAAGGGTGTGTATATATAGGAAAAAACATAGTGTATATAGGGTTTGGTACTATACACAGTTTCAGGGACCCACTAGGGGACCTGGAATGTATCCCTCATGGATAAGGGGGGATTCCTGCATTTCAAATTATTGTTCATGATCTTCTCCTGGAAATTCTTCTGTGTTAGTTTCTATCATGACCTCACTGATGCTGCTTGTCTTTTTTTCCTGAATTCTTCTACTTCTCCTTTACATAGCTTATCCAGTTGTTTCATCCAATTCCCCATCCATCCCAATGTGCAGTTCTTTTTTTGTTGTTGGTTGTTTGTTTATTACCAGTTCTGCTGTCTGTGTTGTAGCAGTTGTGTTTCTCTCCAGCTTGGACTTCTCCGGCCTTTAGACCAGGGATCCCAAACCCCCAGGCCATGGACTGCTCCAATGTGTGTCCTGTGAGGAACTGCGCTGCACAGCAGGAGATGAGTAGCAGGCAAGCAAGAATTACTGCCTGCACTCTGCCTCCTGTCAGATGAATGACAGCATTAAATTCTCACAGGAGCATGAACCCTATTGTGAAATATGCATGTGAGGGATCTAGGTTACCTGCTCCTTATGAGAATCTAATGTCTGATGAACAATTTCATCCCAAAACCATCCCCCCTCACACCCTGGTATATGGAAAAATTGTCTTTCACAAAACCTGGTGCCAAAAAGTTTGGGGATCACTGCTCTAGACCACAGGTTCAGCTCTCCATTGAATGATTCTTTGTAGCTATCCGAAAGGCACCTCAAGCTTAAATCCAAAATAAAATTATATCCTTCTCTTTTCCTTTACATACAGTATTAGATTAGACAGTAATTAGCTTCTACATCTCAATAAGAGGAATAGTAAGAATCTTTATCAGTCTTTAATAAACCACAGTTTTCCCTCTGGCTACAAATTGTTTACATTCCTTCCACATGCGAAATATACTTACCTGTAGAGATAAGTATTCACCCATCGAACTGACACCACAAACAGTGTGATAAACAACCTTTGCCTCCACAAATTTCTTCCCCCCTCCCTGCCCCTTTTGGGATACAACCATCTGACTTAAGATATATTCTCTGTATAAGTCCATTCTCCCATTGCTATAAAAAACTACCTCAGACTGGGTAATTTATAAAGAAAAGAGGTTTAATTTGCTCACAGTTCCACAGACTGTAGAGGAAGCATGGCTGGGGAGGCCTCATGAAACTTACAATTATGGTGTAAGATGAAGGGGAAGCAGGCACGTCCTATGTGTCTGGAGCAGGAGAAAGTGGGTGGTGAAGAGGGAGGTTCTATACACTTTTAACAACCAGATCTCGTGAGAATTTACTAACAGGAGAACAGCAAGGGGCAAGTCTGCCCCCTGATCTAGTCACCTCCCACCAGGCCCCTCCTACAGCCAGCCTTGAGGCTTACAATTTGACATGAGATTTGGGCAAGTAAACAAATCGAAACAATACCATCCTCTTAACAAATTTTTAAGTATGCAATTCCGTATTAACTACAGGCTTTGATCTGTAGATTCGATATTTAGAACTTACTCATTGCATAACTAAAACTTATACCCTGCGACCAATACCCCCCCAGTTACCCTTCCCCCTCAGCCCTTGGTAACCAAGATTCAGCTCTATGTTTGTGTAAGTTTAACTGTTTTACATTTTTATATACTTGGAGTTCCTCAGGCTGTACAGGAAGCATGGCTTCATTTGAGCTGGAACAACAGCATCCTTCAGACTTGGTAATTAATAAAGGACAGAAATTTATTCTTAACAGTTCTGGAAGCTGGGAAGTCCAGGATCAAGGCACTGTCATCTGGTACCTGATGAGAGACTTCTTCCTGCATCCTTACATGGTGGAAGACAAAAGAGTGGCAGAGAATGAATATACTCCCAGTCCATTCGAGAGGGAAGAGCCCTCACCTCATCACTTCCCTGAGGCCTCACCTTCTAATACTATCACCTTGGTGATAAGATTTCAACATAGGAATTAGAGGGGAATACATACATCCAGACTATTGCAGATGGGATTATGTAATACTTTGTTCCTGTTTGGCTTATTTCTTAGCACAATATCTTTCTGGTATGTGCATGTTTCTGCAAATGGCAAGATTTTCTTCCTTTTTAAGGCTGAGTAATAATTCATTGCATGTATAGACCACATTTTCTTTATGCATTCATTATTAGTGAGAGTTCTTATTACAAATGGCGAAGTGGTTTTTAATATTGATTTAATTTTTGTTATTAAAAACATTTTTAGATGGTTAGATTCCTTTTTAGAATAAATATACTTCATTAGTTAAGGCAGTTTTAACTTCACAGCAGAATTAAGAAGTACATAGATTTCCTATATACCCTAATGCACATATATATGTATCCTTCGCCCTTTTCAACACCTCCCCCAACCATGGTAGTACCTTTGTTAAAATGAGGAACCTACATTGAGACATCATAGTTGTCCAAAGGCCATAGTTTACATTAGGGTTTACTCTTGTGGTTTTACATGCTATGGGTTTGAGTAAATGTATAATGACATGTATCCAGCCTTATAGTACCTCACAGAACACTTTGTTCTAAAAGTCATCCCTGCTCTTCCTGTTTATTACATATCATCCCCTTAACCCTGCAAACCATCTCCATCATTTCGCATGTTACATAGTTGCAGTTATATAGTAAGTAGCCTTTTCAGACTGCCTTCTTTTACTTAGTAATATGCTTTTAAGTTTCCTCATCTTTTGAGGACAAGATAGCCCATTTCTTTTTAGTGCTGAATTATGTTCTATTGTGTGTACCATAGTTTATCCATTCACTTACTGAAGGGCATCTTGGTTGCTTCCAAATTTTAGTTATTTTGAATAAAGCTGCTATAAATCCCTGTTCACAGGTTTTTATGATAGCATTTATTTTCACTTACTTTGGGTAACTACCAAGGGATGCAGTTGCTGGATCATATGGTGAGAATATGTTTATTTTTCTAAGAACAAATTGTCCTCCAACTGAGTGACTGTACCGCTTTGCATTTCCACAGTCTGAATGAGAGTTCCTGTTGCTGCACATTCTCAATATCAGTTGTTGTCAGTGCTCCAGATTTTGGCCATTCTACTAGGTATGTAGCGGTATCTCATTGTTTTAATATGTTACCCTAACGTTACACAATATAATGCATTCTTTTATGAGTTTATTTCCTATATGGTTCTCATAATTGGTGAGGTATCTGTTAAGGTCTTTGGTCTATTTTATTAGGTGGTTTTCTTACTGTACAGTTTTAAGAGTTTTTGGAATGTTTTGCGTAACAGTCTCTTTATCAGATGTGAGTTTAGTTTTTGGAATGTTTTGTGAAACAGTCTCTTTATCAGATGTGAGTTTTAACAGTTTTTGGAGTGCTTTGTATAACAGCCACTTTATCAGATGCGAGTTTTAAGAGTATTCGGAATGTTTTGCCTAACAGTCTCTTTATCAGATGTGAGTTTTAAGAGTTTTTGGAATGTTTTGCAAAACAGTCTCTTTATCGGATGTCAGTTTTAAGGGTTATTGGAGTGTTTTGTGTAAAGTCTCTTTATCAGATGTGAGTTTTAAGAGTTATTGAAGTGTTTTGAGTAACAGTCTCTTTATCAAATGTGAGTTTTAAGAGTTTCTGGAGTGTTGCATAACAGTCTTTCTTTTTTTTTTTAACACTGATATACATATTTTAATCTCCATCTTAGCCCAATATCAGTATGTGTCCAAATTGATCATGACTTTACTATATCATGCTTTTTACTGTCTCAGCTTGGCTATCAGTACACTCAGAGTTCTTTTTTTTAATTGAGGAATATATATTTATTAATTAATTTTTTATTATACTTTAAGTTATAGGGTACATGTGAACAATGTGCAGGTTAGTTACATATGTATACATGTGCCATGCTGGTGTGCTGCACACATTAACTCGTCATTTAGCATTAGGTATATCTCCTAATGCTATCTCTCCCCTCTCCCTGCACCCTATAACTGTCCCCAGAGTGTGATGTTCCTCTTCCTGTGTCCATGTGTAATCATTTTTCAACTCCCAACTATGAGTGAGAACATGCAGTGTTTGGTTTTTTGTCCTTGTGATAGTTTGCTGAGAATGATGGATTCCAGTTTCATCCATGTCCCTACAAAGGACATGAACTCATCATTTTTCATGGCTGCATAGTATTCCATGGTGTATATGTGCCACATTTGCTTAATCCAGTCTATCATTGTTGGACATTTGGGTTGGTTCCAAGTCTTTGCTATTATGAATAGAGCCGCAATAAACATACGTGTTCATGTGTCTTTATAGCAGCATGATTTATAGTCATTTGGGTATATACCCAATAATGGGATGGCTGGGTCAAATGGTAGTTCTAGTTCTAGATCCCTGAGGAATCACCACACTGACTTCCACAATGGTTGAACTAGTTTACAGTCCCACAAACAGTGTAAAAGTGTTCCTATTTCTCCACATCCTCTCCAACACCTGTTGCCTCCTGACTTTTTAATGATCACCATTCTAACTGGTGTGAGATGGTATCTCATTGTGGTTTTGATTTGCATTTCTCTGATGGGCAGTGATGGTGAGAATTTTTTCATGTGTTTTCTGGCTGTATAAATGTCTTCTTTTGAGAAGTGTCTGTTCATGTCCTTCACCCACTTTTTGATGGGATTGTTTGTTTTTTTCTTGTAAATTTGTTTGAGTTCATTGTAGATTCTGGATATTAGCCCTTTGTCAGATGAGTAAGTTGCAAAACTTTTCTCCCATTCTGTAGGTTGCCTGTTCACTCTGATGGTAGTTTCTTTTCTGTGCAGAAGCTCTTTAATTAGATCCCATTTGTCAATTTGGCTTTGGTTGCCATTGCTTTTGGTGTTTTAGACATGAAGTCCTTGCACATGCCTATGTCCTGAATGGTATTGCCTAGGTTTTCTTCTAGGGTTTTTATGGTTTTAGGTCTAATGTTTAAGTCTTTAAACCTTCTTGAATTAATTTTTGTATAAGGTGTAAGGAAGGGATCCAGCTTTAGCTTTCTACAAATGGCTAGCCTGTTTTCCCAGCACCATTTATTAAATAGGGAATCCTTTCCCCATTGCTTGTTTTTCTCAGGTTTGTCAAAGATCAGATAGTTGTAGATATGTGGCATTATTTCTGAGGGCTCTGTTTTGTTCCATTGGTCTATATCTCTGTTTTGGTACCAGTACCGTGCTGTTTTGGTTACTGGTTACTGTAGCCTTGTAGTATTGTTTGAAGTCAGGTAGTGTGATGCCTCCAGCTTTGTTCTTTTGACTTAAGATTGACGTGGCGATACGGGCTCTTTTTTGGTTCCATATGAACTTTAAAGTAGTTTTTCCAATTCTGTGAGGAAAGTCATTGGTAGCTTGATGGGGATGGCATTGAATCTATAAATTACCTTGGGCATTATGACCATTTTTACGATATTGATTCTTCCTACCCATGAGCATGGAATGTTCTTCCATTTGTTTGTATCCTCTTTTATTTCCTTGAGCAGTGGTTTGTAGTTCACCTTGAAGAGGTCCTTCACGTCCCTTGTAGGTTGGATTCCTGGGTATTTTATTCTCTTTGAAGCAATTGTGAATGGGAGTTCACTTATGATTTGGCTCTCTGTTTGTCTATTATTGGTGTATAAAAATGCTTGTGATTTTTGTACATTGATTTTGTATCCTGAGACTTTGCTGAAGTTGCTTATCAGCTGAAGGAGATTTTGGGCTGAGACAATGGGGTTTTCTAGATACACAATCATGTCATCTGCAAACAGGGACAATTTGACTTCCTCTTTTCCTAATTGAATACCCTTTATTTCCTTCTCCTGCCTAATTGCCCTGGCCAGAACTTCCAACACTATGTTGAATAGGAGTGGTGAGAGAGGGCATCCCTGTCTTGTGTCAGTTTTCAAAGGGAATGCTTCCAGTTTTTGACCATTCAGTATGATATTGGCTGTGGGTTTGTCATAGATAGCTCTTATTATTTTGAAATACGTCCCATCAATACCTAATTTATTGAGAGTTTTTAGCATGAAGGGTTGTTGAATTTTGTCAAAGGCCTTTTCTGTATCTATTGAGATAATCATGTGGTTTTTGTCTTTGGTTCTGTTTATATGCTGGACTACATTTATTGATTTGTGTATATTGAACCAGCCTTGCATCCCAGGGATGAAGCCCACTTGATCATGGTGGACAAGCTTTTTGATGTGCTGCTGTATTCAGTTTGCCAGTATTTTATTGAGGGTTTTTGCATCAATGTTCATCAAGGATATTGGTCTAAAATTCTCTTTTTTGGTTGTGTCTCTGCCTGGCTTTGGTATCAGGATGATGCTGGCCTCATAAAATGAGTTAGGGAGGATTTCCTCTTTTTCTATTGATTGGAATAGTTTCAGAAGGAACGGTACCAGTTCCTCCTTGTACCTCTGGCAGAATTCGTCTGTGAATCCATCTGGTCCTGGACTCCTTTTGGTTGGTAAGCTATTGATTATTGCCACAATTTCAGAACCTGTTATTGGTCTATTCAGAGATTCAAGTTATTCCTGGTTTAGTCTTGGTAGAGTGTATGTATATAGGAATTTATCCATTTCTTCTAGATTTTCTAGTTTATTTGTGTAGAGGTGTTGGTAGTATTATCTGATGGTAGTTTGTATTTCTGTGGGATCGGTGGTGATATCCCCTTTATCATTTTTTATTGCATCTATTTGATTCTTCTCTCTTTTCTTCTGTATTAGTCTTGCTAGTGGTCTATCAATTTTGTTGATCCTTTCAAAAAAACAGCTCCTGGATCCATTAATTTTTTGAAGGGTGTCTCTATTTCCTTCAGTTCTGCTCTGATTTTAGTTATTTCTTGCCTTCTGCTAGCTTTTGAATGTGTTTGCTCTTGCTTTTCTAGTTCTTTTAATTGTGATGTTAGGGTGTCAATTTTGGATCTTTTCTGCTTTCTCTTGTGGGCAGTTAGTGCTATAAATTTCCCTCTACACACTGCTTTAAATGTGTCCCTGAGATTCTGGTGTTTTTTGTCTTTGTTCTCACTGGTTTCCAAGAACATCTTTATTGTTACCTTTATTTCATTATTTACCCAGTAGTCATTCATGAGCAGTTTGTTCAGTTTCCACGAACTTATGCTGTTTTGAGTGAGTTTCTTAATCCTGAGTCCTAATTTGATTGCTCTGTGATCTGAGAGACAGTTTGTTGTGATATCTGTTCTTTTACATTTGCTGAGGAGTGCTTACTTCCAATTATGTGATCCATTTTAGAATAAGTGTGATGTGGTACTGAGAAGAATGTTTATTCTGCTGATATGGGGTGGAGAGTTCTGTAGATTTCTGTTAGGTCTGCTTGGTGCAGAGCTGAGCTGAAGTCCTGGATATCCTTGTTAACCTTCTGTCTTGTTGATTTGTCTAATATTGACAGTAGGGTGTTAAAATCTCCCATGATTATTTTGTGGAAGTCTAAGTCTGTTTGTAGGTATCTAAGGACTTAATTTATGAATCCGGGTCCTCCTGTGTTGGGTGCATATATATTTACAGTAGTTAGCTCTTCTTGCTGAATTAATCCTTTTGCCATTGTATAATGGCCTTCTTAGTGTCCTTTGATCTTTGTTTGTTTAAAGTCTGTTTTATCAGAGACTAGGATTGCAACCCCTGCTTTAAAATTTTTTTTTTTTTGCTTTCCATTTGCTTGGTAGATCTTCCTCATCCCTTTATTTTGAGCCTATGTGTGTCTCTGCACGTGAGATGTGTCTTCTGAATACAGCACATTGATGGGTCTTGACTCTTTATCCAATTTGCCAGTCTATGTCTTTTAATTGGGGCATTTAGTCCATTTACATTTAAGATCAATATTGTTATGTGTGAATTTGATCCTGTCATTATAATGTTAGCTTGATCTTTTGCCCATTTTTTGATGCAGCTTCTTCATAGTATCAATGTTCTTTACAATTTGACATGTTTTTTGCAGGGGCTTGTACTGGTAGTTCCTTTCCATTCTTAGTGCTTCCTTCAGGAGCTCTTGTAAGGCAGGCCAGGTGGTGACAAAATCTCTCTGCATTTGCTTGTCTGTAAAGGATTTTATTTCTCCTTCACTTATGAAGCTTAGTTTAGCTGGATATGAAATTTTGGGCTGAAAATTCTTTTCTTTAAGAATGTTGAATATTGGTCCCCACTTTCTTCTGGCTTGCAGGGTTTCTGCTGACAGATCTGCTGTTAGTCTGATGGGCTTCCCTTTGTGGATAACCCAACCTTTCTCTCTGGCTGCCCTTAACATTTTTTCCTTCATTTCAACCCTGGTGAATCTGACAATTAGTGTCTTGGGGTTGCTCTTATCTAGAAGTATCTTTGTGGTATTCTCTGTATTTCCTGAATTTGAATGTTGGCCTGCCTTGCTATGTTGGAAAAGTTCTTCTGAATAATAACCTAAGGAGTGTTTTCCAACTTGGTTCCAATCTCTCCATCACATTTAGGTACACCAAGCAAATGTAGATTTGGTCTTTTCACATTGTTCCATTTTTCATGGAGGCTTTGTTTGTTTCTTTCCAATCTTTTTACTCTAAACTTACCTTCTCACTGTATTTTATTAATTTGATCTTCAATCACTGATATGCTTTCTTCCACTGGATTGAATCAGCTTTTGAAGGTTGTGCATGTGCCACAAAGTTCTTGTGCCATATCAGCTCCATAATGTCATTAATGTATTCTCTACACTGTTTATACTAGTTAGCCATTGTCTGACCATTTTTCATGGTTTTTAGCTTCCTTGCAGTGTGTTCAAACACGCTCTTTTAGCTCAGAGAAGTTTCTTATTAGCAACCTTCTGAAGCCTCCTTCTGTCAACAGGTCAAAGTCATTCTCCCTTCAGCTTTGTTCTGTTGCTGGTGAGGAGCTGCAATCCTTTGAAGGAAAAGAAGTGTTCTGGGTTTTAGGATTTTCATCTTTTCTGCTCTGGATTCTTCCCATCTTTGTGGTTTTCTCTACCTTTGGTCTTTGATGTTGTTAACCTAGAGATGGGGTTTTGGTGTGGATGTCCTTTTTTTTTATGTTGATGCTATTCCTTTCTGTTTGTTAGTTTTCCTACTAACAGTCAGATCCCTCAGCTGCAGGTCTGTTGGATTTTGCTGGAGGTCCACTCCAGGCCTTGTTTGCCTGGGTATCACCAGAAGAGGCTGAAGAACAGCAAATATTGCTTCCTGATCCTTCCCTGGAAGCTTCATTGAAGAGGGGCTCCCACCTGTATGAGGTGTCTGTTGGCCCTTACTAGGAGTTGTCTCCCAGTTAGGCTACATGGGGTTCAGGGACCCACTTGAGGAGGCAGTATGTCCATTCTCAGAGCTCAAACACCATGCCGGGAGTACCACGGCTCTCTTCAGAGCTGTCAGATGGGATGTTTAAGTCCGCAGAAGTTTCTGCTACCTTTTACTCAGCTATGCCCTGCCCACAGAGTTTGAGTTTATTAAGGCAGTAGGCCTTGCTGAGCTGTGAGTGGCTCTACCCAGTTCAAGCTTCCTGACCACTTTATTTACCTACTCAAACCTCAAAAATTGCAGATTCACCTCCCCCTGCCCAGCTGCTGCCTTGAAGGTTAATCTCAGACTGCTTCCCTAGCAGTGAACAAGGCTCTCTGGGTGTGGGACTCAATGAACCCAGCACAGGAGAGAATCTCCTGGTCTGCCAGGTGCTAAGACTGTGGGAAAAGTGCAGCATTTGGGTGAGAGTGTCCTGTTTTTCCAGGTACAGTCTGTCATGCCTTCCCTCAGCTAGGAAAGGAAAATCCCTCAAACCCTTGCACTTCCTTGATGAGTTGATGCCCTGTCCTGCTTCGGCTAACCCTCCATGTGATGAACCCACTGTCCAACCAATCCCGATGAGATGAATCAGGTACCTCAGTTGGAAATGCAGAAATCAACCATTTTCTGCTTGATTACACTGGGAGCAAAATCGAATGCCATTAGGTATGCTTGCAGCAGCCAAAGGAGGGGTTTGAACCTTGCTGCATACTGAATGTTGTGTGTGTATCCCTGACAGTTCTCACAATATTACTTTCCTTGCCCAAGACATGCAAGGACAACTAAAACAGTTAGAATCTGTCAGGACCCCATCATGAATTGGCTGTCCAACTGACATTGGCGTTGGCCTTGGTGGGTGTGATTTTATTTAATTGTGCTTTAATTCTCCTCTGCTTACCCTGCTTCTTTAACCTCTACCAATGATGTATTCCCCGTATATCTGCAAGGGTGTTTTCCTACAATTGAGTATCAAGTGGGACCGAATACAGAGAAAAAGTTAAATAATATATTTCAACTCAATTGAACATGGACACAATGGTCACCAAGTCCCAGAATAGGTTTTGTGAGCCCCTTGAGGCATTCATCCAGCACTGTTTCAGAGAAATCTCTATTTCAATCTATTCCTATACGTTAGTTATTGAAAAACAACAGACAATGGCAAAAACAAATTGACCTTTTTGTGTTCCTTTGTGCATGGACGAATGGCTGACTCTGGAGCCCAGGCTGTTGCTTCTCGGTCTGGTGATCAATCTTCCATAGTCTATCTATATATATATATATATATACATATGTATACACATTTTTTTCCTTCTCCCCTTTCCCATTGTAATTTGCTTGTTGTATCAATTTGCTTATTTTATCATCATTTGCTTATTATATCTGCATTGCCATTTATGTGGGATAGAGTTTGTTGACCTTTAAAGTTTTGTGTGTGTGTGTTTTCTCCTCCCCTGGAGCATCTCCTGCACATAACACCTCTCTTCCTGTCATAGCCAGAAATTCAGTTTTTAAGTTTTTTTCTGGGGTCTTCTTGCTCAAGAGGAAGTATGTTCAGTGATACGTGGCTTAGAATTTTATTTTTAGCTTTTATTACATTCTAAACCCCCAGCAGAAAGAAGTCTTAACAAACACAGATTTTAATTTATGAACATTCTTCTAATAAGTTTTGTATGGTAGCGGAACAACTAAAAAAACTGTTTTTTGCATTGATGACCTACCTCATTACAATTTAACCTCTAAAGGTTGTTTTAGCCAGCTCTACAGGCTGCTATGGTTAAGGTGAATTTACTGCTTCTTCCCACAATAGAGAATGGTATTTTAAAATAGCATAACTTCTATGGAATATATTTTTAAAGCATGACCACAATTTGAATAATTAGAATATTTAAAAATTCCGAAGATTGTTATACCAACACTGCACTAAAATTTATCCTTCCATTGATGACAGGGAATTTTTAATAGTTATTTTTATAATAAATTAAATTTTAATAAAATAACTGACTTTCAAACTTTAGCAAGAGGACACATATTCAGACAGAGATATCAGTTCCCCCTTAGAAAAAAATATTCACTTCTCATTAAAATCTCTCTGTATCTTACTGATTTCAGATAGAAGTTAAATTTCACCTTAATAACAGAAACAAAAGAACTAGTTAAACTGACAAAAACTAATAAACGTATGCCCAAATTTACTGGCAGAATCATGAGTACACCATATAATAGTAACATTCTACCAGTTTTAAGTAAAATAAATGAGGAAATAATCTTGACTGTACAACCTACCAGGAGGGGCGTGTCCCTGCTCCCAGATGAGTGGGAACGCTGCACTCTGGGGTGGTTGCGCCTCAGCTTCTGGCAACTCTTGTTGGCAGCATTGCCATTGCAGGGACAAGGCAGGCGTTGGGGGGGCGGGCAGTGGGCCAGGCCCAGGCACGTCCTTTGCCAGAGACTGGGCAGGTGCGGAGAGGGGCGAAGCAGTGCTGCCCTGGTCGAGGGAGCCTCCCGCTCTGGACGGTTCGCCAAACCTGCCCCAGGAGGTTGCTGCAGGAGCTGGGTGGGGAAGGGGAGGGATGAGGGGATGCAGGCCAGATCAGGTGGCCCCTTAGCCCTGGGTGATGCAAGAGGGGCTGTGGGAGACCAGAGAAGACCCGGAGCAGAAACTGGGAACTGATATCTCTGGCTGAATATTTGTCCTCTTGCTGAAGTTTGAAAGTCAGTTATTTCATTACAGTTCAATTTTATTACAAAAATAACAACTATTAAAAATTCCCTGTAGTCACTGGAATGATAAATTTTGGTGCAGTTTTAGCATAACAATCTTTGGAGTTTTTAGATATTCTAATTATTGAAATTGCAGCCATGTTTCAAAATACATGCCATATATTTTTATGGCATCCACCCCTGGGTCCCTGTGTCCCGCATCCGCCTCTGTGTACCTGCTGGCTCAGGAAACGAGCTTCTTCCTACTTCCACAGACTCCAATCAGGCTGCCCTTCCTCCTGGTACTTGAGGCACACGTGGGGATAGCCTGCCAGTGAATAGCCCGAGAATGCCCGGCCTGTGCCGTGTGCTCAGAGTGGGGTCCTGGCTGGTGCCCCTCAGAGCCCCTCACAAAGCAGGGCTAGGTGTGGAGGGACCTAGCACCAGGCAGCGGTGAGCGGATGGATGCTCCAGGGATGTGGGGCTGCTGACAGTCAAGAACCCTTTGCCAAATTCAATGGCATAATGTAGGATATTTTTTCCCTTATATTTTTGTGTAGGAGTTTTACAACTTTCAGCCTTACATTTGTATTTTCTTAACATAGGATTCCAGAACAATGCTACGAGGGTCTGAATGCCTGTCCCACACATAGGATTCTAGAACACCCCAGCTGTCGTCTGAATGATTGCCCCCCACATATGATTCCAGAACACTGCTGCTGCGGTCTGAATGATTGTACCTCACACAGGATTCCAGAACACTCCTCCTCTAGTCTGAATGTTTGTCCCTCAGATAATATTCCGGAACACTGCTGCTGGGTTCTGAGTGTTTGTCCCTCACATAGGATTCCAGAACACTGCTAAGAGGGTCTGAATGTTTGTCCTTCACATGAGATTGCAGAACACTGCTAAGAGGGTACGATTGTTTCTACCTCACATAAGATTCCAGAACACTTCTACGAGGGTCTGAATCTTTGTCCCATACATAGGACTCCAGAACACTCCTGCTGTGTTCTGAATGTGTTTTCCTAACATAGGATTCCAGAACAATGCTACGAGGGTCTGAATGCTTCTCCCACAAGTAGGATTCCAGAACACCCCAGCTGCAGTCTGAATGATTGTCCCTCACATAGGATTCCAGAACACTGCTGCTGGGTTCTGAGTGTTTCTCCCTCACATAGGATTCCAGAACACTGGTACAAGGGTCTGAATGATTGTACCTCACATAGGATTCCAGAACACTCCTGCTCTGGTCTGAATTTTTGTCCCTCAGATAGGATTCCAGAACACTACTACTGGGTTCTGAGTGTTTGTCTCCCACGTAGGATTCCACAACACTGCTACGAGGGTCTGAATGTTTGTCCCACACATAGGACTCCAGAACACTCCTGCTCTGGTCTGAATGTTTGTCCCTCAGATAGGATTCCAGAACACAGCTTCTGGGTTCTGAGTATTTGTCCCTCACATAGGATTCCAGAACACTGCTACTGGGTTCTGAGTGTTTCTCCCTCACATAGGATTCCACAACACTGCTAAGAGTTTCTGAATGTTTGTCTCATACATAGGATTCCAGAACACTGCTACGTGGGTCTAAATGTTTGTCCCTCACATAGGATTCCAGAACACTACTGATGTGGTCTGAATGCTTGACCCTCACATAGGATTCCAGAATATTCCTGTTGTCTTCTGGGTGTTTGTGACTCACAAGGGTTTCCAGATCTATCCTGCTGTGTTCTGAATGTTTCCCCCTCAGATAGGATTCCAAAACATTCCTTCTGTGGTCTGAGTGTTTGTCTCTCAAATAGGATTCCAAAACACTGCTACTGGGGTCTGAATGTTTGTGCCTCAAATAGGATTCCAGAACACTGCTATGAGGGTCTGAATTATTCTCCCTCACATAGCATTCCAGAACACTCCTGCTGTGGTCTGAATGTTTATGCCTCACTCAGGATTCCAGAACATTCCTGCTGTGGTCTGAATGGTTGTCCCTCACTTAGGATTCCAGAACACTGCTGTTGGGTTCTGAGTGTTTGTCCCGCACATAAGATTCCAGAACACTGCTACTTGGGTGTCAATGTTTGTCCCTCAGATAGGATTCCAGAACACTGCTGATGGGGTCTGAATGCTTGTCCCTCACATTGGATTCCAGAACACTCCTGCTGTGGTCTGAATGTTTGAACATCACATAGGATTACAGAACACTGCTGTGGGTTTCTGAGTATTTGTCCCTCTCATAGGATTCCGGAACACTGCTACGAGAGTCTGAATATTTGTCCCACACATAGGACTCCAGAACACTCCCGCTGTGTTCTGAATGTATTTTCCTAAAATAGGATTCCAGAACAATGCTACGAGAGTCTGAATGCGTTTCCAACCCGTAGGATTCAAGAAGACCCCAGTTGTGGTCTCAATGATTGTCCCTCACATAGGATTCCAGAACACTGCTGCTGGGTTCTGAGTGTTTTTCCCTCACATAGGATTCCAGACCACTGCTACGAGGGTCTGAATTATTCTCCCTCACATAGGATTCCAGAACACTCCTGCTGTGGTCTGAATGTTTGCCCCTCACTTAGGATTCCAGAACACTGCTGCGGGGTTCTGAGTGTTTGTCCCTCACATAGGATTCCAGAACACTGTTACGAGGTTCTGAAAGTTTGTCCCTCACGTAGGATTCCATTACACTAGTGCTGTGGTCTGAATGGTTGACACTCACATAGGATTCCAGAACATTCCTGCTGTATTCTGAATGGTTGACCCTCACATAGGATTCCAGTACATTCCTGCTGTGGTCTGGGTGTTTTTGCCTCACATGGGATTTCATAACAATCCTGCTGTGGTCTGACTGTTTGTCCCTCACATAGGATTCCAAAACATTCCTGCTGTGGTCTGAGTGTTTGTACCACAAATAGGATTCCAGAATACTGCTACTGGTGTCTGAAAGTTTGTCCCTCACATTGGATTACAGAACACTGCTAACAGCGTCTGATTTATTCTCCCTCATATAGGATTCCAGAACACTCCTGCTGTGGTCTGAATGTTTGTCCCACTCTTAGGATTCCAGAACACTGCTGTTGGAGTCTGAGTGTTTGTCCCTCATGTACGATTCCAGAACACTGCTACGTGGGTCTAAATGATTTTCCCTCACATCAGATTCCAGAACACTGCTACGAGGCTCTGAATGTTTGTCCCACACATAGGACTCCAGAACACTCCTGCTTTGTTCTGAAGGTATTTTCCTCACATAGGATTCCAGAACAATGCTACAAGGGTCTGAATGTTTGTTCCACACGTGGGATTCCAGAACACCTCAGTGGTTTTCTGAATGATTGTCCCACACATAGGATTCCAGAACAAAGCTGCTGGGTTCTGAGTGTTTGTCCTTCAAATATGTTTCCAGAACACTCCTGCTCTGGTCAGAATGTTTGTCACTCACTGAAGATTCCAGATCCCTGTTCTTGGGTACTGAGTGTTTCCCCCCCCATACGATTCCAGAACATTGCTACGTGGGTCTAAATGTTGGTCCCTCCCATAGAATTCCAGAACACTGCTACGAGGTTCTGAATGCTTGTCCCGCACATAGGACTCCAGAACACTCCTACTGTGTTCTGAATGTTCTTCCTCACATAGGATTCCAGAACAATGCTACGAGGTTCTGAATATTTGTCCCACACCTAGGGATCCAAAACACCCCAACTGGGGTCTGAATGACTGTCCCTCACATAGGACTCCAGAACACTGCTGCTGTGTTCTGAATGTTCTTCCTCACATAGTATTCCATAACATTGCTATGAGGGTCTGAATGTTTGTCTCACACATAGGGACCCAGAACATCCCAGATGTGGTGTGAATGATTGTCCCTCACATAGGATTCCAGAACGCAGCTGCTGGGTTCTGAGTGTTTCTCCTTTACGTAGGATTCCAAAACATTGCTACTGGGATCTGAATTTTTCTCCCTCACATAGGATTCCAGAACTCTGCTATGAGGATCTTAATTATTCTCCCTCACATAGGATTCCAGAACACTCCTGTTGTGGTCTGAATGTTTGTCCCTCACTTAAGCTTCCAGAACACTGCTGTCGGGTTCTGTGTGTTTGACCCTCACGTACGATTCCAAAACACTGCTACGTGTGTCTAAATGTTTTTCCCTCACATAAGATTCCAGAACACTGCTATGAGGGTCTGTATGTTTGTCCCGCACGTAGGTCCGCAGAACACTACTGCTGTGTTCTGAAGGGTTTTTCCTCACATAGGATTCCAGAACAATGCTACAATGGTATAAATGATTGTCCCTCACAGAGGATTCCAGCACACTTCTTCTGGGTTCTGAATGTTTCTCCCTCACATAGGATTACAGAACACTCCTTCTATGATCTGAATGTTTGTCCCTCACTTAGGAATGCAGAACACTGCTGTTGGGTTCTGACTGTTTGTCCTTCACGTACGGTTACAGAACACTGATACATGGGTGTAAATGTTTGTCCCTCACATAGGATTCTAGAACACTGCTACAAGGGACTGAATGTTTGTCTCGCACATAGGACTCTGGAACACACCTAGTGTGTTCTGAAAGTATTTTCCTCACATAGGATTCCACAGCAATGCTACGTGAGTCTGAATCTTTGTCCCAAACCTAGGACTCCAGAACAACTCAGCTGTGGTCTGAATGATTGTCCCTCACATAGGATTCCAGAACACTGCTGCTGGGTTGTGAGTGTTTCTCCCTCACATGGTATTCCAGAACACTGCTACTGTGGTCTGAAAGTTTTTCCCTCACATAGGATTGCAGAACACTGCTACGAGGGTCTGAATTATTCTCCCTCACATAGGATTCCAGAAGATTCCTTCGTGGTCTGTATGTTTGTCCCTCAATTAGGATTCCAGGACACTGCTGTAGGGTTCCAAGTGTTTGTCTCTCACTTGCGGTTCCAGAACACTGCTCCCTGGGTCTAAAAGTTTGTTCCTCACATAGGATTGCAGAACAGTGCTACAAGGGTCCGGGTCTGAATGTTTGCCCCACACATAGGATTCCAGAATGCCTCAACTGTGGTATGAATGATTGTCCCTCATATAGGATTCCACAATACTACTACTGGGTTATGAGTGTTTCTCCCTCACATGGCATTCCAGAACACTGCTACGAGGGACTGAATGTTTGTCCCGCACATAGGACTCCACAACACTCCTGTTGTGTTCTGAATGTATTTTCCTCAAAGAGGATTCCAGAAAAATGCTACGCGGGTCTGCATGTTTGTCCCACACGTAGGACTCCAGAACACCCCGGCTGTAGTCTGAATGATTGTCCCTCACATAGGATTGCAGAACACTGCTTCTGGGTTGAGCATTTCTCCCTCACATAGGATTCCAGAACACTGCTACGAGGGTCTGTATTATTCTCCCTCACAATGGATTCCAGAATATTCCTTCTGTGATCTGTGTGTTTTTCCCTCAATTAGCATTCCAGGACACCGCTGCTGGGTTCTGAGTGTTTCTCCCTCACATAGGATTGCAGAACCCTGCTACTGACATCTGAATATTTGTCCCTCACAAAGGATTCCAGAACACTGCTGCAATGGTCTGAATTATTCTCCCTCACATAGGACTCCAGGACACTCCTACTGTGGTCTGAATGTTTTTCCCTCACTTAGGACTCCAAAACACTGCTGTTGGGTTCTGAGTGTTTGTCCCTCATGTACGATTCCAGAACACTGCTACGTGCTTCTAAATGTTTGTCCCTCACATAGGATTCCAGAACACTACCATGAGAGTATGAGTGTTTGTCATGCACATAGGACTCCAGAACACTCCTTCTGTGTTCTGAATGTTCTTCCTCACATAGGATTCTGGAACAATGATACGAGGGTCTGAATGTTTGTCCCACACGTAGGATTCCAGAACACCCCAGCTGTGTTCTGAATGATTGTCCCTTACATAGAATTCCAGAACACTGCTGCTGTGGCCTGAATGTTTGTTCCTCACATAGGATTCCAGAACTCTCTTGCTGTGGTCTGAATGTTTGTCCCTCCTATAGGATTCCAGAACACTGCTGCTGTGTTCTGAAAGGTTGACCCTTACATAGGATTCCAGAACACTCCTGTTGTGGTCTGGGTGTTTGTGCCTTACGTGGGATTCCAGAACAATCCTGCTGTGGTCTGCATGATTCTCCCTCACATAGGATTCCAAAACATTCCTGCTGTGGTCTGAGTGTTTGTCCCACAAATAGGATTCCAGAATACTTCTACTGTGGTCTGAAAGTTTGTTCCTCACGTAGGATTCCAGAGCACTGCTACGAGGGTCTGAATGTTTGTCCCACACATAGGACTCCACAACACTCCTGCTGTCTTCTGAATGTTCTTCCTCACATAGGATTCCAGAACATTACTACGAGGGTCTGAATGTTTGTCCCACACCTAGGGATCCAGAACACCCCAGCTGTGGTCTGAATGATTGTCCAACACATAGGATTCCAGAACACTGCTGCTGGGTTCTGAGTGTTTCTCCCTCACTGAGGATTCCATAACACTGCTACTGGGGTCTGAATTTTTTTCCCTCAGATAGGATTCGAGAACACTGCTACAAGGGTCTCAATTATTCTCCCACACATGGGATTCCAGAACACTCCTGCTGTGGTCTGAATGTTTGTCCCTCACTTAAGATTCCAGAACACTGTTGTTGGGTTCGGAATGTTTGTTCCTCACGTACGATTCCAGAAGACTGCTATGTGGGTCTAAATGTTTTTCCCTTACCTAGGATTCCAGAACACTGTTTCGAGGGTCTGTATGTTTGTCTCGCACATAGATCTCCAGAATACTACTGCTGTGTTTTGAAGGTGTTTTTCTCACATAGGATTCCAGAACAATGTTACAATGGTCTGGATGATTGTCTCTTACATAGGATTCCAGAACATGGCTTATGGGTTCTGAGTGTTTCTCCCTCACATAGGATTACAGAACACTCCTTCTGTGGTCTGAATGTTTGTCGCTCACTTAGGAATCCAGAACACTGCTGTTGGGTTCTGAGTGTCCCTCACGTAGGGTTACAGAACAATTCTACATGAGTCTAAATGTTTGTCCCTCACATAGGATTCCAGAACCGTGCTATGAAGGACTGAATGCTTTTTCTTCATATAAGACTACAGAACACTCCTGCTGTGTTCTGAATGTATTTTATTCACATAGAAGTCCCGAACAATGCTACAAGGTTCTGAATCTTTGTTCCACACTTAGGATTCTAGTACACCCTAGCGGTTTTCTGAATGATTGTCCCACACATAGGACTCCAGAACACTGCTGCTGGGTTCTGAAGCTTTCTCCCTCAAATAGGTTTCCAGAACTCTCCTGTTGTGGTCAGAATGTTTGTCCCTCACTGAGGATTCCAGATCCCTGCCCTTGGGTACTGAGTGTTTGCCTCACATAGGATTCCAGAACACTGCTACTGTGGACTGCATTTATATCCCGCATATAGGCTTCCAGAACACTCCTGCTGTGTTTTGAAAGTATTTTACTCACACAGGATTCCAGAACAACGCTACTAGCGTGTGAATGTTTCTTTCACATGTAGGATTTCAGAGCACCCCAGGTGTGATCTGAATGATTGTCCCTCCCATAGGATTCCAGAACACTGCTGCTCAGTTGTGAGTGTTTCTCCCTCACATAGGATTCCAGAACACTACTGCTGTGGTCTGAATGTTTGTCCCTCACATAGGATTCCAGAACACTGCTACGAGTGTCTGAATTATTCTCCCTCACATAGGATTCCAGAAGATTCCTGCTGTGGTCTGAATGTTTGTCCCTCACTTGGGATTCTAGGACACTGCTGTTGGGTTCTGAGTGTTTGTCCCTTATGTAAGATTCCAGAACACTGTTCCGTGGGTTTAAATGTTTATCCCTCACATAGGATTGCAGAATACTGCTGTGAGGTTCTGAATGTTTGTCCCGCACAATGGACTCCAGAAATCTCCTTCTGTGTTCTGAATGTATTTACCTCACATAAAATTCCAGAACAATGCTAAGAGGGTCTGAATGTTTGTCCCACACTTAGGAATCCAGAACACCACAGCTGTGGTCTGAAAGATCGTCCCTCACATTGGATTCCCGAACACTGCTGCTGGGTTCTGAGTGTTTCTCCTTCACATAGGACTCCAGAACTCTGCTACGAGGTTCTGAATGATTGTACCTCACATAGTATTCCAGAACCCTCCTGCTCCGTTCTGAATATTTGTCCCACAGATAGGATTCCAGATCACTGCTCTTAGGTTCTGCACGTTTGTCCCTCAAATAGGATTCCAGAACACTGCTGCTGTGTTCAAAATGTTTGTTCCTCGCATAGGACTCCAGAACTCACCTGCTATGGTCTGAACGATTGTCCCTCATATAGGAATCCAGAACATTACTGCCTTGGTCTGAATTGTTGACCAGAATCCTGCTGTGGTCTGAATGTTTCTCCCTCACATAGGTTCCAAAACATTCCTGCTGTTTTCTGAGTGTTTCTCCCACAAATAGGATTCCAGAACACTGCTACTGTGGTCTGAAAGTTTCTCCCTCACATAGGATTCCAGAACACTGCTACAAGGGTCTGAATTATTCTCCATCATATAGGATTCCAGAACACTCCTGTTGTCGTCTGAATGTTTATCCCTCACTGAGGATTCCAGAACACTGCTGTTGGGTTCTGAGTGTTTGTCCCTCATGTACGATTCCAGAACCCTGCCACGTGGGTCTAAATGTTTGTCCCTCACACAGGACTCCAGAACAATGCTACGAGGGTCTGAATCTTTGTCCCAAACTTGGATTCCAGAACCCACCAGCTGTGATCTTTCTGATGGTCTCTCACATAGGATCCAGAACAATGACGCTGGGTTCTGAGTGTTTCTCCCTCACATAGGAATCCAGAACACTCTTGCTGTTGTCTGAATGCGTGTCTCTCACTTAGGTTTCCAGAATACTGCTGTTGGGTTCTGAGTGTTTGTCCCTCATTTACGATTCCAGACCACTGCTACGTGTCTCTAAATGTTTGTCCCTCAGATAGGATTCCCGAACACCGCTACGAGGGTCTGAATGTTTGTCCCACAGTTAGGTTTCCAGAACACCCCAGCTATCGTCTGAATGATTGGCCTTCATATAAGATTCTGGAAAACTGCTGCTGGTTTCTGAGAGGTTCTCTCTCACATAGGATTTCAGAACACTGCTGCTGGGGTCTGAAAGTTTGTCCCTCACATAGGATTCCAGAGCACTGCTACGAGGTTCTGAATTATTCTCCCTCACATAGGATTCCAGAACACTCCTGCCATCATCTGAATGTCCCTCACTTAGGATTCCAGAACACTGCTGTTGTGTTCTGAGTGTTTGTCCCTCACGTACTATTCCAGCACACTGGTACGTGGGTCTAAATGTTTGTCCCTCTCATAGGATTCCAGAACACTGCTATGAGTGTCTGAATGTTTGTCCCTCACATAGGGTTCCAGAACTCTCCTGCTGTGGTCTGAATGTTTGTCGCTCACTGAGGATTCTAGAACACTGCTGTTGGGTTCTGAGTGTTTGTCCCTCACCTTTGATTACAGAACACTGCTACTTGATTCTAAATGTTTGTCCGTCACACAGGATTCCAGAACACTGCTATGAAGGTCTGAATGTTTGCCCCTCACATAGGATTCCAGAACACTGCTACGGGTGTCTTAATTATTCCCCATCCCATCGGATTCCAGAACACTCCACCTGTTGTCTGAATGTTTGTCCCTCACTTACTATTCGAGAACACTGTTGTTGGGTTCTGTGTATTTCTCACTTACATACTAGTCCAGAACACTGCTACGTGGGTCTAAATGTTTTTCTCTCACATAGGATTCCAGAACACTGCTACGAGGGTCTGAATGTTGTCCCACCCACAGGACTCCAGAAAACATCTGCTGTTTTCTGAAAATATTTTCCTCACTTAGGATTCCAGAACAATGCTATGAGGGTTTGAATGTTTGTCCGATATGCAGGATTCCAAAACGTCCCAGCTGTGTTCTGAATGATTGTCCCTCACATAGGATTCCGGAAAACTGCTGTTGGGTTCTGAGTGTTTCTCCCTCACATAGGATTCCAGAAAACTGCTACTGGTGTCTGAATGTTTGTCCCTCACGTCGGATTTCAGGAAATTGCTAAAAGGATCTGAATTATTCTCCCTAACATAGGATTCCAGAACACTCCTGCTGTGGTCTGAATGTTTGTCCCTCACATAGGATTCCAGATCACTGCTGCTTGGTTCTGAGTGTTTCTCCCTCAGATAGGATTCCAGAACACTGTGGCTGTGGCCTGAATGTTTGTCCCTCACTTAGGATTACAGAACACTGCTGTTGGGTTCTGAGTGTTCCTCACGTACGATTCTAGAACACTGTCACGTGGATCCAAAAGTTTCTCCTTCACATAGGATTCCACAACACTGCTACGAGGGTCTGAATGTCTCTCCCGCACATAGGTCTCCAGAACACTCCTGCTGTGTTCTGAATAATTTTTCTCACATGAGATTCCAGAGCAATGCTACCAGGGTCTGAATGTTTGTCACACACGAAGGACTGCAGAATAGCCCACCTGTGGTCTGAATGAATGTCCCTTACATAGAATTCCAGAACACTGCTGCTGGATTCTGAGTGTTTCTCCCTCACATCGGATTCCAGAACACTGCTACGAGGGTCTGAATGATTGTACCTCACATAGGATTCCAGAACGCCCCTGCTCTGGTCTGAATGTTTGTCTCTCAGATAAGATTCCAGAACACTGCTGCTGGGTTCTGAGTGTTTGTCCCTCACATAGGATTCCAAAAAAGCGCTGCTGTGGTCTGAATGTTTGTTCCTCCCATATGATTCCAGAACACTCCTGTACTCTCTGAATGTTTGTCCCTCATGTAGGATTCCAGAACACTACTCCTGTGGTCTGAATGGTTGTACCACACATAGTATTCCAGAACAATCCTGCTGTGGTCTGGCTGTTTGTGCCTCACATGAGATTCCAGAGCAATCCTGCTGTGGTCTGTATGTTTCTCCCTCACATAGGATTGCAGAACATTCCTGCTGTGGTCTAAGTGTTTGTTCCTCAAGTAGTATTCTAGAACACTGCTACTGGGGTCTGAAAATTTGTCCCTCACATAGGATTCCAGAACATTGCTACCAGGGTTTGAAGTATTTTCCCTCACATAGGATACCAGAACACTCCTGCTGTGGTCTGAATGTTTGTTCTTCACTTCGGATTACAGAACACTGCTGTTGGGTTCTGAGTGTTTGTCCCTCACAAACGATTCCAGAATACTGCTATGTGGGTCTAAATGTCTGTCCCTCACATAGGATTACAGAACACTGCTACGAGGGTCTGAATGTTTGTCCCACACATAGGACTCAAGAACTCTCCTGCTGTGTTATGAATGTATTTTCCTCACATAGGATTCCATAACAATGGAAGGGTCTGAATGGTTGTCCCACTGGTAGGATTCCAGAACACCACAGCTGTGGTCTGAATGATTGTCCCTCACATAGGTTTCGAGAGCACTGCTGCTGGGTTCTTATTGTTTCTCCCTCACATAGGGTTCCAGAACACTGCTACTGGGTTCTCTAAATGTTTGTCCCTCACAAAGGATTCCAGAAAACTGCTCCAAGGGTCTGAATTTTTCTCCCTCACATAGTTTTCCAGAACACTCCTGCTGTGGTCTGTATGTTGGTCCCTCACTTTGTATTCCAGAACACTGCTGTTGGGTTCTGAGTGTTTATCCCTGACGTATGATTCCAGAACACTGCTATGTGGGTTTAAATGTTTGTCCCTCACATAGGATTCCAGAACTTAGCTACGAGGGTATGAATGTTTGCCCCGCTCATGGGACTCCAGAACACTCCTGCTGTGTTCTGAATGTATTCTCCTCATATACGTTTCCAGAACAATGTTACGAGTGTCTGAATGATTGTACCTCACATAGGATTCCAGAACACTCCTGCTCTGGTCTGAATGTTTGTTCCTCAGATAGGATTCCAGAACACAACTGCTCTGTTTTGAGTGTTTGTGCTTCACGTACGATTCCAGAACACTTCTATGTGGGTCTAAATGTTTGTCTGTCACATAGGATTCCAGAACACTGCTACAAGTGTTTGAATGTGTCTCCCGCACATAGGAATCCAGAACACTCCTGCTGTGTTCTGAATGTATTTTCCTCACATAGGATTCCAAAACAATGCTACGAGGGTCTGAATGTTTGTTCCAAACGTAGGATTCCAGACCAATCCTCTGTGGTCTGAATGATTGTCCCTCACAAAGGATTCCAGAGCACTGCTGCCGGATTCTGACTGTTTCTTCCTCACATAAGATTCCAGAACACTGCTACTGGGGTCTGAATGTTTGTCCCTCACATAGGATTCCAGAACACTGATACGAGTGTCTGAATTAATCACCCTCACATAGGATTCCAGAACACTCCTGCTGTGGTCTGAATGTTTTTTCCTCACTTAGGATTACAGAACACTGCTGTTGGGATTTAGTGTTTGTGTTAATCTTAGTGTTAGGATTGCAGAACACTGCTACATGGGTCTAAATGATTGTCCTTCATATAGGATACGAGAACACTACTGCTGTGGTCTCAATGGTTCACCCTCACATAGGATTCCAAAACATTCCTGCTGTGGTCTGAGTGTTTGTCCCTCAAATAGGATTCCAGAACACTGCTACTGGGGTCTGAATGTTTGTCCTTCACATAGGATTCCATAACATTGCAACGAGGGTCCGAATTACTCTCCCTCACATAGGATTCCAGAACATTCCTTCTGTAGTCTGAGTGTTTGTCCCTCCAATAGGATTCCAGAACACTGATATGTGGGTCTAAATATTCGTAACTCACATAGGATTCCAGAACACTGCTACGAGGATCTGAATATATGTCCCACACATAGGACTCCAGAACACTCCTGCTGTATTCTGAATGTATTTTCCTCACATAGGATTCCAGAAAAATGCTAAGAGGGTCTGAATGTTTGTCCCTCACATAGGATTGCAGAACACCCAAGCTGTGGTCTGAATTACTGTCCCTCACATAGGATTCCAGAACACTGCTGCTAGGTTCTGAGTGTTTCTCCCTCACATGGGAATCCAGAACACTGCTACGAGGGTCTTAATGATTGTACCTCACATAGGATTCCAGAACACTCCTACAGTGGTTTGAATGTTTTCCCCTCAGATAGGATTCCAAACAGTGCTGCTGGGTTCTGAGTGTTGGTCCCTCACATAGGATTCCAGAACACTGATGCTGTGGTCTGAATGTTTGTTTCTCACATAGGTTTCCAGAGCACACCTGCTGTGGTCTGAATGTTTGTTCCTCACATAGGATTCCAGAGCACACCTGCTGTGGTCTGAATGTTTGTCCCTCATAGAACATTGCAGAACACTACTGCTGTGGTCTGAATGGTTGACCCTCACATAGGATTCCAGAACACTCCTGCTGTGGTCTGAATGGTTGACCCTCACATAGGATTCCAGAACACTCCTGCTGTGGTCTTGGTGTTTGTGCCTAATATGGGATTCCAGAACAATCCTTCTGTGATCTGAATGTTTCTGCCTCACATAGGATTCCATAACACCCCTGCTGTGGTCTGAATGTTTGTACCTCACTTGGAATTCCAGAACACTGCTGCTGGGTTCTCAGCATTTCTCCCTCACATAGGATTCCAGAAAACTGCTACTGGGGTCTAAATGTTTGTCCCATAGGATTCCAGAAAACTGCTACTGGGGCCTAAATGTTTGTCCCTCACGTAAGATTCCAGAACACTGCTACGATGCTCTGAATTATTTTCCCTCACATAGGATTCCAGAACACTCCTGGTATGTTCTGAATGTTTGGCCCTCTCTTAGGATTCCAGAACACTGCTATATGGTTCTTAGTTTTTGTCCCTCATGTACGATTCCACAACACTGTTACCTGGGTGTAAATGTTTGTCCCTTACATAGTATTCCAGAACACTGCTATGAGAGTCTGAATGTTTGTCCCCCACATAGAGCTCCAGAACACAACTGCTGTATTTTGAAAGTATTTTCCTCAGATAGGACTCCAGAACAATGCTACGAGGGTCTGAATGTTTGTCCCACACGTAGGATTCTCGAACACCCCAGCTGTAGTGTGAATGATTGTCCCTCACATAGGATTACAGAACACTGATGCTGGGTTCTGAGTGTTTCTCCCTCATGATTCCAGAACATTGCTACTGCGGTCTGAATGTCTTTCATTCACATAGGATTCCAGAACACTACTACAAGGGTCTGAATTATTCTCCCTCACATAGGATTCCAGAACTTTCCTGCTGTAGTCTGAATCCTTGTCTCTCACTTAGGATTCCAGAACACTGCTGTTGGGTTCTGAGTGTTTGTCCCTCACATACAATTCTAGATCACGGCTATGTGGGTTTCAGGGTTTGTCCCCCACATAGGTTTCCAGAACACTGCTATGAGGTTCTGAATGTTTGTCTCACACATAGGACTCCAGAACACTCCTGCTGTGTTCCAAATGCATTTTCCTCACATAGGATACCAGAACAATGCTACGAGGGTCTGAATGTCTGTCCCACACGTAGGATTCCAGAACATCCCATCGGTGGTCTGAATGATTGTCCCTCACATAGGATTCTGGAATATTGCTCCTGGGTTCTGAATGTTTCTCCCTCACATGGGATTCCAGAACACTGCTGTTAGGCTCTGAGTGTTTGTCC
This sequence comes from Homo sapiens, assembly GCF_000001405.40. Lineage (NCBI taxonomy): Eukaryota > Metazoa > Chordata > Mammalia > Primates > Hominidae > Homo > Homo sapiens. The sequence continues at coordinate 133,850 of NT_167218.1, forward strand.
CTCAGTTATAATTCCAGAACACTGCTACGTGGGTCCAAATGCTTGTCGATCACATAGGATTGCAGAACACAGCTATTAGGGTCTGAATGTTTGTCCCACACAGAGGACTCCAGAAAACTCCTGCTGTGTTCTGAATGTATTTTCCTCACATTGGATACCAGAACAATGCTACGAGGGTGTGAATGTTTGTCCCACAGGTAGGATTGCAGAACACTACTGCTGTGGTCTGAATGATTGTCCCTCACGTAGGATTCCAGAACACTGCTGCTGTGTTCTGAATGTTTCTCCCTCACATAGGATTCCAGAACACTCCTGCTGTAGTCTGAATGTTTGCAACTCACTTAGGATTCCAGAATACTGCTGTTGAGTTCTGAGTGTTTGTCCCTCAGGTATGATTCCATAACACTGCTACGTGGGTCTAAATGTTTCTCGATCACATGGGATTCCAGAACACAGCTACTAGAGTCTGAATGTTTGTCCCACACAAAGGACTCCAGAACGCTGCTGCTGTGTTCTCAACATATTTTCCTGACATAGGATTCCACACGAATGCTACAAGGCTCTGAAAGTTTGTCCCAGACGTAGGATTCCAGAACACCCCAGCTGTTGTCTGAATGATTGTCCCTCACATAGGATTCCAGAGCACTCCTGCTGTGGACTGAATGCTTTTTCCTCACATAGGATTCCAGAACTCTCCTGCTGTTGTCTGAATGTTTGTCCCACATGTAGGATTCCAGAACTCTACTGCTGTGGTCTGAATAGTTGACTCTCTCACAGGATTCCAGAACACTTCTGCTGTGGTCTGGGTGTTCATGCCTCACAAGGGATTCCAGAACCATCCTGCTGTGGTGTGAGTGTTTGTCCCTCAAATAGGATTCAAGAACACTGCTACTGGGGTCGGAATGTTTGCCCTCACTTAGGATTCCAGAACACTGCTAGGAGGGTCTGAATAATTCTCCCTCACGTAGCATTCCAGAACACTCCTCTTGTGGTTTGAATGTTTGTCCCTCACTTAGGATTCCAGAACACAGTTGTTGGGTTCTCAGTGTTTGCCCTTAATGTATGATTCCAGAACACTGCTAAGTAGGTCTAAATGTTTGTACCTCACATAGGAATCCAGAACACTGCTAGGAGGGTTTGAATGTTTCTCCCTCACCTAGGACTCCAGAACATTCCTGCAGTGTTCTGAATGTATTTTCCTCATATAAGATTAAAGAACAATGCTATGAAGGTATGAATGTTTGTCCCACACGAAGGATTCCAGAACACCCAGCTGTGGTCAGAATGATTGTCCCTCACATAGGATTCCAGAACACTGCTGCTGGGTTCTGAGTGTCTCTCCCTCACATAGGATTCCAGAACACTCCTGCTGTGGTCTGAATGTATCTCCCTCACATAGGATTCCAGAACACTGCTACTGGGTTCTGAGTGTTTGTCTCTCACATAGGATTCCAGAACAATGCTATGAGGGTGTGAATGAGTGAACCTCACATAGGATTCCAGAATTCTCCTGCTCTCTTCTGAATTTTTGACCCTCTGAAAGGATTCCAGAACACTGCTACAGGGTTCTGAGTGTTTGTTCCTCACATAGGATTCTGGAACACTACTAAGAGTTTCTGAATTATTCTCCCTCACATAGGATTCCAGAACACTCCTGCTGTGGTCTGAATGTTTGTCCCTCACTTAGGATTCCAGAACACTGCTGTTGTGTTCTGAGTGTATGTCCCTCACGTACGATTCCAGAACACTGCAACGTGGGTCTAAATGTTTGTCACTCACATAGGATTCCATGACACTGCTACGAGGATCTGATTGTTTGTCCAGCACATAGGACTCCAGATCTCTCGTTCTCTGTTCTGAATGTATTTTCCTCACATAGATTCCAGAACAATGCTACGAGGGTCTGAATGTTTGTCTCACACATAGGATTCCAAAGCACCACAGCTGTGGTCTGTAAGATTGTTCCTCACATAGGACTCCAGAACACTGCTGCTGGGTTCTGAGTGTTTCTCCCTTGCATACACTTCCAGAACAATCCTGCTGCAGTCTGAATGTTTGTCCCTCACATAGTATTCCATAACACTCCTGCTGGGCTCAGAATGTTTTTCCCTCACTTAGGATTCCAGAGAACTGCTGTTTGGTTCTGAGAGTTTATCCCCCACATACGATTATAGAACACGGCTACGTGGGTCTCAATGTTTGTCCCTCACATAGGATTCCAGAACACTGCTACTGGGGTCTGAATGATTCTCCCTCACATAGGATTTCAGAACAATGGTGATGGGTTCTGAGTGTTTCTCCCTCACATAGGATTCCAGAACACTGCTACAAGGGTCCGAATGTTTGTCCCTCACAGGGGCTTCCAGAACACTGCTGCTAGGGTCTGAATGTTGGAACCTGACTTAGGACTCCAGAACACTCCTGCTGTGGTCTCAATGTTTATCCCACACACAGGATTCCAGAACACTGCTACGAGGTTCTCAATGGTTGTCCCTAACACAGAATTCCAGAACACTGCTACGAGTGTCTGAATGATTGTCCCTCACATAGGAAACCAGAGCACTGCTGCCGGGGACTGAATGTTTGTCCTTCACATAGGAATCCAGAACACTGCTGCTGGGTTCTCCATGTGTGTCCATCACATAGGATTCCAGAACACTGCTGCTGGGTTCTGAGTGTTTCTCCCTCACATATAACTCCATAACACTGCGATGAGGGTCTGAACCTTTTTCCGTTACGTAGGATTCCAGAACACTCCCGCTGTTGTTTGAATGTTTATCCCTCGCCTAGAAATCCAGAACACTGCTGCTGCGGTCTGAATGTTTGTCCCTCACATAGGATTCCAGAACATGGTTATGATTGTCTGAATGTTTTTAACTCACATAGGATTCCAGAACACTGCTGATGGGGTCTCAATGTTTTTTCCACACATATGACCAAAGAACTCTGCTGCTACGTTCTGAATGTTTGTTGCTCACATAGCATTCCAGAACACTTCTGCTGTGGTCTGAATTTTTGTCCCTCACAAAAGATTCCCGATCACTCCCGCTGGGGTCTCAATGTTTGTCCATCACATAGGAATCAATAACACTGATGCTGGGGTCTGAAAGTTTGTCTTTCACATAGGATTCCAGAACCCTGCTACAAGGGTCCGAATGTTTGTCCCCCACATAGGATTCCAGAACACTGCTTCGATTGTCTGAATATTTGTCCCTCAGATAGGACTCCAGAACACTGCTGCAGGGGTCTAAATGTTTTTCTGTCACATAGGATTCCAGAACACTGTTACGAGGGTCTGAATGCTTGTTCCTCACAGGGAATTCCAGAACATTCCTCTTGTGGTCTGAACGTTTGTTCCTCACATTAGATTCTAGAACACTGCTATGAGCATATGAATGTTTGTCCCTCACACAGAATTCCAAAACACTGTTACGAGGGTCTGAATGATTGTCCCTCACATAGGATTCCAGAACACTGCTTCTGGGGTTTTAATGTTTGTCCCTCAAATAGGATTCCAGAACACTGCTGTTGGGGTCTATATGAATGTCAGTCCCATAGAATTCAAGAACGCTTTTGCTGGGTTCTGAGTGTTTCTCCCTCACATAGAACTCCAGAACACTGCGACGAGGGTCTGACTATTTCTCCGTTACATAAGATTCCAGAACACTCCCGCTGTTGTTTGAATTTTGGTTCCTCACATAGGATTCCACAACACTGAAGCTGGAGTCTTAATGTTTGTCCCTCACATAGGATTCCAGAACAGTGCTACGATTGTCTGAATGTTTGTCCCTCACATAGTGTTCCAGAACACTGCTGCTGGGGTCTGAATGTTTGTGCCTCACATATGACCAAAGAACACTGCTGCTAGGGTCTCAATGATTGTTGCTCACATAGCATTCCAGAACATTCCTGCTGTGGTCTCTATTTTTATCCCTCACAAAAGATTCCAGAATACTCCTCTTGGTATCTCAATGTTTGTCCCCCATATAGGACTCAAGAACACTTATGTTGGGGTCTGAAAGTTTGTCCCTCACATAGGATTCCAGAACACTGCTATGAAGGTCTGAATGTTTGTCCCTCACATAATATTGCAGAACACTTCTACGATTGTCTGAATGTTCATCCCTCACTTAGGATTCCAGAACACTACTACGAGGGTCTGAATGTTTGTCCGTTACATAATATTCCACAACACTACTGCTGTGTTCTGAGTGTTTGTACCTCAGATAGGATTCCAGAAGAGTCACTCTGTGGCCTGAATGTTTGTCCCTCACATAGGGTTCCAGAACACTGCTGCTGGGTTCTGAATGTTTGTCCCTCACATAGTATTCAAGAACACTGCTACGAGGGTCTGAGTGTTTGTCATCTGCTTACAATTCCAGAACACACCCGCTGTTGTTTCAATGTTTGTCCCTAACATAGGATTCCAGAACACTGCTACTATTGTCTCACTATTTCTCCCGCACGCAGGATTCCAGAACACTGCTGTGAGGATCTGAATGTTTGTCCTCCACATAGGATTCCAGAACACTTCTGCTGTGTTCTGAATGTTTGTCCCTCAGATAGGATTGCTGAGCACTCCTGCTGTGGTCTGAATATTTGTCCCACACATAGGATTGCAGAACACTCGTGCTGTGTTATGAATATTTTTCCCTCAGATAGGATTCCAGAACACTGCTACGAGCATCTGAATTATTCTCCCTCACATAGGATTCGAGAAAACTCCTGCTGTGGTCTAAATGTTTGTACTTCACTTCGGATTCCAGAACACGGCTGTTCAGTTCTGGGTGTTTGTCCCTCACATACGATTCCAGGACACTGCTACTTGTGTCTGTATTATTCTCCCTCACATAGGATTCCATAACACTCCTGCTGTGGACTGAATGTTTGTCCCTCACTTAGGACTCCAGAACACTTCTGTGGGTTCTGAGTGTTTGTCCCTGACATAAAATTCCACAGCACTGCTACGTGGATCTAAATGTTTGACCCTCACATAGGATTCCAGAACACTGCTACGAGGATCTGAATATTTTTTCCCACACGTAGGATTCCAGAACACTCCTGCTGTTGTCTGAATGTTGGTCCATCACGTAGGATTCCAGAACACTGCTAGGAGTGTTTAAATTATTCTCCCTCTCATAGGATTCCAGAACACACCGGCAGGAGTCTGAATGTTTGTTCCTCACTTAGGATTCCAGAACACTCCTGCTGTTGTATGAACGTTTGTCCCTCACTTAGGATTACAGAACTCTGCTGTTGGATTCTGAGAGTTTCTCCCTCGCGTACGATTGCAGAACACTGCTGCGTGGGTCCAAATGCTTGTCCCTCACATAGGATTCCAGAACACTGCTATGAGGGTCTGAATGTTTCCCAGGCACATAGGACTCCAGAACACTGCTACGAGGGTCTGAATGTTTGCACCACACGTAGGACTTCAGAACACTCCTGCTGTTTTCTGAATGTATTTTCCTAGCATAAAATTCTAGAACAATGCTACGAGGGTCTGAATGCTTGACCCACACGTAGGATTGCAGACCACCCCAGGGGTGGTCTGAGTGACTGTCCCTCACATAGGATTCCAGAACCTTGCTGCTGGGTTCTGAGTGCTTGTCCCTCACATAGGATTCCAGAACACTGCTACTGGGTTCTGAATGTTTGTCCCTCACATAGGAGTCCAGAACACTGATCCGAGGGTCTGAATTATTCTTCCTTACATAGGATTCTGGAACACTCGTGCTGTGGTATGAATGTTTGTCCCTCACTTAGGATTCCAGATCACTGCTGCTGAGTTCTGAGTGTTTCTCCCTCCCATAGGATTCCAGAACATTCCTGTTGTTGTCTGAATGTTTGTCCCTCAGTTAGGATGACAGAACACTGCTATTGGTTTCTGAGTGTCTGTCCCTCACGTATGAGGCCAGAACACTGCTACGTGAGTCTAAATGTTTGTTTCTCACGTAGGATTCCAGAACACTGCTGCTGTGGTCTGAGTGTTTGTTCCTCACATAGGATTCCAGGACACTCCAGTTGTGGTCTGAAAGTTTTTTCCTCCTATTGGGTTCCAGAACATGACTATTGTGGTCTGAATGTTTGACCATCACAAAGGATTCCAGAACCCTCCTTCTGTGGTCTGGGTGTTTGTGCCTCATATGGGATTCCAGAATAATCCTGCTGTCGTCTGAATGTTTCTCCCTCACATAGGATTCCAAAACATTCTTGTTGTGGTCTGAGTGTTTATCCCTCACGTGGGATTCCAGAACACTGCTACTGCGGTCTGAATGTTTGTCCCTAACATAGGATTCCAGAACACTTCTACGAGGGTCTGAATTATTCTCCTTCTCATAGGATTTCAGAACACTCCTGTTGTGGTCTGAATGTTTGTTCCTCACTTAGGATTCCAGAACACTGCTGTTGGATTCTGAGTGTTTCTCCCTCAAGTACGATTCCAGAATACTGCTACATGTGTCTAAATGTTTGTCCCTCACAAACTATTCCAGAACACTGTTGCGAGGGTCTCAATGTTTGTTCTGCCCGTAGGACTCCATAACACTCCTGCTGTGTTCTTAATGTATTTTCCTCACATAGGATTGCAGAACAATGCTACAAGGGTCTGAATGTTTGTCCCACACGTAGGATTCCAGAACGTCAGAGCTGTGGTCTGCAGGACTGTCCCTCAAATAGGATTCCAGAACACTGCTGCTGGGTTCTGTGTGTTGATCCCTCACATAGGATTCCAGAACAATCCTGTTGTGGTCTGGGTGTTTGTGCCTCACATGGGTTTCCAGAACAATCCTGCTGTGGTCTGAATGTTACTCACTCTTATAGGATTCCAAAGCATTCCTGCTGTGGTCTGTGTGTTTGTCCCTCAAATAGGAATACAGAACACTGCTACTGGGGTCTGAATGTTTGTCCCTCACGTAGGATTCCAGCACACTGTTACGAGGGTCTGAATTACTGCCCCTCACATAGGATTCCAGAACACACCTGCTTTCTTCTGAAAGTTTGTCCTTCACTTAGGATTCCAGGACACTGCTGTTGGTTTCTAAGTGATTGTCACTCACTTATGATTCCAGAACACTGCTACTGCAGTCTGAATATTTGTCCCGCACATAGTATTCGAGGACACTGCTACTAGAGGGTCTAAATGTTTGTCCCTCTCATAGGATTCCAGAACACTTCTAAGAGGGTCTAAATGTTTGTCCCTCTCATAGGATTCCAGAACACTTCTAAGAGGGTCTAAATGTTTGTCCCTCTCATAGGATTCCAGAACACTTCTAAGAGGGTCTAAATGTTTGTCCCTCTCATAGGATTCCAGAACACTTCTAAGAGGGTCTAAATGTTTGTCCCTCTCATAGGATTCCAGAACACTTCTAAGAGGGTCTGAATGTTTGTCCCCCCAATAGGACTCCAGAACACTCCTGCTGTGTTCAGAATGTATTTTCCTCACGTAGGATTCCAGTACAATGCTACGAGGGTCTGAATGTTTGTCCCACACGTAGGATTCCAGAACACCCCAGCTGTGTTCTGAATGACTGTCCCTCACATAGGATTCCAGAACATTGCTGCTGCGTTCTGAGTGTTTCCCCGTCAAGTAGGATTCCAGAACACTCTTGCTGTGTTGTGAATATTTGTCCCTCACTTAGGATTCCAGATCACTGCTGTTGGGTTCTGAGTGTTTGTCCTTCACGTACGATTCCAGAACATAACTACGTGGGTCTAAATGTTTGTCCCTCACATAGGCTATCTGAACACTGCTATGAGGGTCTGAATGTTAGTCCCGCACATAGGACTCCAGAACACTCCTGCTGTGTTCTGAATGTATTTTCCTCACATAGGATTCCACAACAATGCTACGAGGGTCTGAATGTTTGTCCCACACTTAGTATTCCAGAACACCCCAGCAGTGGTCTGATTGACTGTCTCTCACAAAGGATTACAGAACACTGCTGCTGGTTTCTGAGTGTTTCTCCCACATATAGGATTCCGGAACACTGCTACGGGGATCTGAAATTTTGCCCCTCACATAGGATTCCAGAACACTGCTACAGGGATCTGAATGTTTGTCTCTCACATAGGATTCCAGAACCCTGCAACGAGGGTCTGAATTACTCTCACTCTCAAAGGATTCCAGAACACTGTTTTTGGGTTCTCAGTGTATCTCCTCACAGAGAATTCCAGAACACTGCTACAAGGGTCTGAATGATTGTACCTCACATAGGATTCCAGAACACTCCTGCTCTGCTCTGAATGTTTGTCCCTCAGATGGGATTCCAGAACACTGCTGCTGGGTTCTGAGTGTCTGTCCCTCACATAGGATTCCAGAACACTGCTGCTGCGGTCTGAATGTTTGTTTCTCACATAGCACTCCAGAACACTCCTGCTGTGGTCTGAATTTTTCTCCCTCATATAGGATTCCAGAACACAACTGCTCAGGTGTGAATGGTTGACCCTCACATAGGATTCCAGAGTACTGCTGTTGTGGTCTGGGTGTTTGTGCCTCACATGGATTTCCAGAACAATCCTTCTGTGGTCTGAATGTTTCTCCCCCACATAGGATACCAAAGCATTCCTGCTCTGGTCTCAGTGTTTGTCCCTCAAATAGGATTCCATAAAATTTCCACTGGGGTCTGAATGTTTGTCCCTCACTTAGGGTTCCAGAACAATACTAAGAGGGTCTGAATTATTCTCCCTCACATATGATTGCAGAACACTCCTGCTGTGGTCGGAATGTTTGTCCCTCAGTTACGATTCCAGAATACTGTTGTTGAGTTCTGAGTTTTTGTCCGTCACATACGATTCCAGAACACTGCTATGTGGGTCTAAATGTTGGTCACTCACATAGGGTTGCAGAACACTGCTACGAGGGTATGAATGTTTCTCCCGCTCATAGGACTCCAGAACAATCCTGATGTGTTCTGAATGTATTTTCTTCACATAGGATTCCAAAACAGTGCTATGAGGGTCTGAATGTTTGTCTCACACGTAGGATTCCAGAACACCCGAGCTGTGGTCTGAATGATTATCCTTCCCATAGGATTCCAGAACACTGCTGCTGGGTTCTGAGTGTTTCTCCCTCACATAGTATTCCATAACACTGCTACTGGGGTCTCAATGTTTATCTCTCACATAGGATTTCAGAACACTGCTACAAGTGTCTGAATGTATGTCAAGCTCTTATGACTCCAGAATACTCCTGCAGTGTCCTGAATATTTTTTCCATACGTAGGATTCCAGAAGAATACTACGAGGCTATGAATGTTTGTCCCACAAGTAGGATTGCAGAACACCCCAGCTGTGATCTGAATGATTGTCCCTCACATAGGATTCCAGAACACAGCTGCTGGGTTCTGAGGTTTTCTCCCTCACATAGGATTCCAGAACACTCCGGCTCTGGTCTGAATGTTTGTCCCCAGATAAGATTCCAGAACACTGCTGCTGGGTTCTGAGGGTTTGTCTCTCACATGGGACTGCAGAACCCTTCTGCTGTGGTCTGAATGTTTGTTCCTCACATAGGATTCCAGAACATTCCTGCTGTTTTCTGAATATTTGTCCCTCACTTAGGACTCCAGAACACTGCTGTTGAGTTCTGAGTGTTTGTCCCTCATGTATGATTCCAGAACACTGCTGTGTGGGTCTAAATGTTTGTCCCTCACATACGATTTCAGAACACTGCTACGAGGGTCTGAATGTTTCTCCCACACAGAGGACTCCAAAACACTACTGTAGTGTTCTGAATGTATTTTCCTCACATAGGATTCAAGGACAATGCTAACAGGGTCTGAATGTTTGTTCCACACGTAGGACTCCAGAACACCCCTGCTGTGGTCTCAATGATTGTCCCTCACATAGGTTTCTGGAACACTGCTGCTGGTTCTGAGTGTTTCTCCCTCACGTGGGATTCCAGAACACTGCTACAAGGGTTTGAATTATTCTCCTTCACATAGGATTCCAGAACAATACTGCTGATGTCTGAACGTTTGTCCCTCACTTAGGATTCCAGAACACTGCTGTTGGCTTCTGAGTGTCCCTCACTTACGATTCCAGAACACTGCTACATGGGTCTAAAAGTTTGTCCCTTACATAGTATTCCAGAACACTGCTACAAGGGCATGAATGTTTGTCCCGCACATTGGACTCCAGAGCACCCCTGCTGTGTTCTGAATGTATTTTCCTCACACAGGATTGCAGAACAATGCTACGAGGGTCCAAATATTTGTCCCACACATAGGATTCCAGAACACCTTAGCTGTGGTCTGAATGATTGTCCCTCACATAGGATTCCAGAACACTGCTTCTGGGTTCTGAGTGTTTCTCCCTCAAATAGGATTCCAGAACACTGCTACGAATGTCTGAATGATTGTACCTCACATAGGATTCCAGAACACTCCTGCTGTGTTCTGAATGTTTGTCTCTCAGATAGGATTCCAGAACACTACTGCTTGGTTCTGAGTGTTTGTCACTCACATAAGATTCCAGAACACTGCTCCTGTCTTCTGAATGTCTGTTCATCACACAGGATTTCAGAACACTCCTGCTGTGGTCTCAATGGTTGAACCTCATATAGGATTCCAGTACAATCCTGCTTTGGTCTGGGTGTTTGTACCTCACATGGGATTCTAGAACAAACCTGCTGTTGTCTGAATGTTTCTCCCTCACATAGGTTTCCAAAACATTCCTGCTGTGGTCTGAGTGTTTCTCCCTAAAATAGGATTCCGGAACACTGCTACTGGGGTGTGAATGATTGTCCCTCACATAGGATTCCAGAACACTGCTAAGAGCGTCTGAATTATTCTCCCGAACTTAAGATTCTAGAACACTCCTGCTGTGGTCTGAATGTTTGTCCCTATCTTATTATTCCAGAACACTGTTTTTGGGTTCTGAGTGTTTGTCCCACACACACGATTCCAGAACACTGCTACGTGGCTCTAAATGTTTGTCCGTCACATAGAATTCAAGAACACTACTACGAGGGTCTGAATGTACCGCACATAGGACTCCAGAACAATCCTGCTGTTTTCTGAACGTATTTTCCTCACATAGGATTCCACAACAATGCTACGAGGGTCTGAATGTTTGTCCCACATGTAGGATTCCAGAACACCCCTGCTGAGGTCTCAATGATTGTCCCTCACATACAGTGCCAGAACACTGCTACTGGGTTCTGAGTGTTTCTCCCTCACACAGGATTCCAGAACACTACTACGAGAGTCTGAATGATTGTACCTCACACAGGATTCCAGAACCCTCCTGCTGTGGTCTGAATGTTTGCCCCTCTGATAGGATTCCAGACACTGCTGCTAGATTCTGAGTGTTTGTCCCTCACATAGTATTCCAGAACATTGCTGCTGTTGTCTGAATGTTCGTTAATCACATAGGATTCCAGAACACTCCTGCTGTGATCTGAATGTTTGTGCTTCATATAGAATTCCAGAACACTGCTGCGGGGTGCTGAGTGTTTGTCCCTCACATAGGATTCCAGAACACTGCTACTGGGGTCTGGATGTTTGTCCCTCACATAGGATTCCAGAATACTGCTATGAGGGTCTTAATTATTGTCCCTCAGGTAGGATTCCAGAACATTCCTGCTGTGGTCAGAATGTTTGTCCCTTACTTAGGATTCCAGAACACTGCTGTTGGGTCCTGAGAGTTTGTCCCTCATGTAGGATTCCAGAACAATGCTACTGGGGTCTGAATGTTTGTCCCGCACATAGGATTCCAGAACACTGCTGCAAGGGTCTGAATTATTCTCCCTAACATAGGATTCCAGAACGCTGTTCGAGAATCTGAATGATTGTACCTCACAGAGGATTCCAGAACTCTCCAGCTCTGTTTTGAATGTTGGTTCCTCAGATAGGATTCCAGAACACTGCTGCTGTGTTCTTAGTTGTTGTCCCTCACATAGGATTCTAGAACACTGCTGCTGTGGTCTGAATGTTTGTTCCTCAGGTAAGATTGCAGAACACTCCCACTCTGTTCTGAATGTGTGTACCTCATATAGGATTCCCAAACACTACTGTTGTTTTCTGAATGGTTGACCCTCACGTAGCATTCCAGAACACCCCTGCTGTGGTCTAGGTGTTTGCGCCTCACATGGGATTCCAGAACAATCCTGCTGTGGTCTGAATATTTCTCCCTCACATATGATTCCAAAACATTCCTTCTCTAGTGTGAATGTTTGTCCCTCAAAAAGTATTCCAGAACACTGCAACTCGGGTGTGAATATTTGTTCCTCACATAGGATTCCAGTACACTGCTATGAGGGTCTTAATTATTCTCCCTCACATAGGATTCCAGAACACTCCTACTGTGGTCTCAATGTTTGTCCTTCACTTAGGATTCCAGAACACTGCTGTTGAGTTCTGTCTGTTTGTCCCTCACGTATGACTCCAGAACACTGAGACGTGGGTCTAAATTTTTATCCCTCACATAGGATTTCAGAACACTGCTACAAGGGTCTGAATGTTTGTCCTGCACGTAGGACTCCAGAACACTCCTGCTGTGTTCTGAATGTATTTTCCTCACATAGGATTCCAGTACAATGCTACAAGGGTCTGAAAGTTTGTCCCACACGTAGGATTCCAGAACACCCCAGCTGTGATCTGAATAATTGTCCCTCACATAAGACTCCGTAACACTGCTGCTGGGTTCTGAGCATCTCCCCCTCACATAGGGTTCCAGAACACTCGCTGTGATCTGAATGTTTATCTCCCACTTAGGATTCCAGATCACTGCTGTTGCGTTCTGAGTGTTTCTCCCTCACGTATGATTCCAGAACACTTCTACGTGGGACTAAATGTTTTTCCTTCACGTAGGATTCCAGAAGACTGCTACGAGGGTCTGAATGTTTGTCACGCACATAGGACTCCAGAACACTCCTGCTGTGCTTTGAATGTATTTTCCTTACATAGGATTCCAGAACAATGCTACTAGGGTCTGAATGTTTGTCCCATACTTAATATTCCAGAACACCCTGCTGTGGTCTGAATGATTGTCCCTCACATAGGATTCCGGAACTCTGCTGCTGGGTTCTGAGTGTTTCTACCTCGCATAGGATTCCACAACACTGCTACTGGGGTCTGAATGCTTGTCTCTCACATAGGATTCCAGAACACTGCTACGAGGGTCTGAATTACTCTCCCTCACATAAGATTCCAGAACACTGCTGCTAGTTTCTGAGTGTTTCTCCCTCACTTAAAATTCCAGAACACTGCTACGATGGTCTGAATGATTGTACCTCACATAGGATTCCAGAAAACTCCTGCCCTGCTGTGAATGTTTTTCCCTCAGATAGGATTCCAGAAGACTGCTGTGGGCTTCTGAGTGTTTGTCCCTCACATAGGGTTCCAGAACACTGCTGCTGTGGTCTGAATGTTTGTTCCTCACATAGGATTCCAGATCACTCTTGCTGTGGTCTTAAGGTTTGTCCCTCATACAGGAATCCAGAACACTACTGCTGTGGTCGGAATGGTTGTCCCTAATATAGGATTCCCGAACACTCCTGCTGTGGTCTAGGTGTTTGCACCTCACATGGGATTCCAGAACAATCCTGCTGTGGTCTGAATGTTTCTTACATAGCATTAAAACCTTCCTGCTGTTTTCTGAGTGTTTCTCCTTCAAATAGGATTCCAGAACACTGGTACTGGTGTCTGAATGTTTGTCCCTCACATAGGATTCCAGAACTCTGCTATGAGGTTCTGAATTTTTCTCCCTCACCTAGGATTCCAGAACACAGTTGTTGGGTTTTGAGTATTTGTCCCTCACGTACAATTCCATAACACTGCAGCATGTGTCTAAATGCTTGTCCCTAACATAGGATTCCAGAACACTGCTAACATGGTCTGAATGTTTGTCCCACACATAGGACTCCATATCACTCCTGCTGTGTTCTGAATGCATTGTCCTCACATAGGATTCCAGAACAATGCTACGAGGGTCTGAATGCTTGTCTTGCATGTAGAATTGCAGGAAACCCCAGCTGTGGTCTGAATGATTATCCATCACATAGGATTCCAGAACATTGCTGCTGGGTTCTGAGTGTTTCTCCCTCAGATAGGATTCCACAATCCTCCTGCTGTGGTCTGAATGTTTGTCCCTCACTGAGGATTCCAGAACACTGCTGTTGGGTTCTAAGAGTTTGTCCCTCTTCTATGAATCCAGAAAAATGTTACGTGGGTCTACATGTTTGTCCTTCCCTATATGAGGAACAAACATTCAGACCACAGCAGCACTGTTCTGGAATCCTATTTGAGGGACAATCATTCAGATCACATCTGGCATGTTCTGGAATCCTGCGTGTGGGACAAACATTCAGACCCTCTTAGCATTGTTCTGGAATCCCATGTGAGGAAAATACATTCAGAAAACAGCAGGAGTTTTCTGGAATCCTACGTGAGGGAAAAACACTCAGAATGCAACAACAGTGTTCTGGAATCCTAAGTGATGGACAAACATTCAGACCACAGCAGGAGTTTTCTAGAATCCTATGTGAGGAAGAATAATTCAGACCATCGTAGCAGTGTTCTCGAATCCTTTGTGAGGGACAAACATTCAGACCCCAGTAGCAATGTTCTGTAATCCTATGTGAGGGGGAAATACTCAGAGCCCTGCAGCAGTGTTCCAGAATCCTATGTGAGGGACAATCATTCAGACCACAGGGGGATTGTTCTGGAATCCCATGTGAGGCACAAACACCCAGAACCCAGCAAGAGTGTTCTGGAATCCTATGTGAGGGTCAACCATCAGACCACAGCGGTAATGTTCTATAATCCTATATGAGGGAGAAACATTCAGACCACAGCAGGAGTGTTCTGGAATACTATGTGAGGAACAAACATTCGGGCCACAGCAGGAGTGATCTGGAATCTTATGTGAGGGACAAACACTCAGAACCCAGTAGCAGTGTTCTGGAATGCTATCTGAGGGACAAACATTCAGATGAGAGCAAGAGTTCTCTGGAATTCCATGTGAGGTACAATCATTCAGAGCCTTGTAGCAGTGTTCTCGAATCGTATGTGAGGGAGAAACTCTCAGAACCCTCCAGCAGTATACTGGAATCCCATGTGAAGGACAATCATTCATCCCCTCATAGCCGTGTTCTGGAATCCTATGTGAGGAAAAACCTTTAGATCCACATAGCAGTGTTCTGGAATCGTACGTGAGGGACAAAAACTCAGAACCCAACAGCAGTGTTCTAGAATCCTAAGTGAGGGACAAACATTCAAACCAGAACAGGAATGTTCTGGAATCCTATGTGAGGGAGAAACACTCAGAACCCAGAATCAGTGTTCTGTAATCCTATTTGAGTGGCAATCATTCAGACCACAGCTGTGGTGTTCTGGAATCCTAAGTGTGGGAAAAGCATTCAGACACTAGTAGCACAATTCTGGAATCTTATGTGAGGAAAATACATTCAGAACACAGCAGGGGCGTTCTGGATTCCTATGTGCAGGACAGAAATTCAGACACTCATAGCACTGTTCTGGAATCGTACGTGAGGGACAAACACTCAAAAAAATAAAACAGCAGTGTTCTGTAATCCTAAGTGAGGGACAAACAATCAGACCACAGAAGGAGTTTTCTGGAATCCAATGTGAGGGAGAGTAATTCAGACCCTCGTAGCAGTGTTCTGGAACCCTATGTGAAAGACAAACATTCAGACTCCAGTAGAAGTGTTCTGGAATTTTATGTGGGGAACAATCTTTCAGACCACAGCTGGGTTGTTCTGGAATCCTACGTGTAGGACAAACATTCAGAGCCTCGAAGCATTGTTGTGGAATCCTATGTGAGGAAAATACATTCAGGACTCAGCAGGAGTGTTCTGGAGTCCTATGTGCCGGACAAAAATTCAGACCCTCGTAGCAGTGTTCTGGAATCCTATGTGATGGAAAAATATTTAGACCCACATAGCAGTGTTCTGGAATCCTATGTGATTGATAAACACTCAGAAACCAGTAACAGTGCTCTGGAATCCTACTTGAGGGACAAACACTGAGACCACAGCAGAAAAGTTTTGGAATCCTATGTGAGGGAGAAACATTCAGACTACAGCAAGATTCTTCTGGAATCCCATGTAAGGCAAAAACACCCAGACCAAAGCAGGGATGTTCTGGAATTCTATGTGAGGGTCAACCATTCAGACAACTGCAGCAGCGTTCTGGAATCCAATATGAGGGACAAACATTCAGTCCAGAGCAGGATTTTTCTGGAGTCCTGTGTGAGGAACAAACCTTCAGACACAGCAGCAGTATTCTAGAATCCTATGTCAGGGAAAAACACTCAGAACACAGCAGCAGTGTTCTAGAATCCTAACTGAGGGACAAAGATTCAAACCAGAGCAGGAGTGTTCTGGCATCCTTTGTGAGGTGCAATCATTCAGATCCATGTAGCAGTGTTGTGGTATCCTATGTGAGGGAGAAACACACAAAAACCAGCAGCAATGTTCTGGAATCCTATGTGAGGGACAATCATTCATACCACAGCTTTGCTCTTCTGGAATCCTACTTGCGGGACAAACATTCAGACCCACGTAGCTGTGTTCTGGAATCCTATGTGAAGGACAAACATTTAGACCCAGGTAACATTGTTCTGGAAGCATATGTGAGGGACAAACACTCAGAACACAACAGCAGTGTTCTGGAATCCTAAGTGAGGGACAAACATTCAGACCACAGCAGGAGTTTTCTGGAATCCTATGTGAGGGAGAATAATTGAGACACTCGTAGCACTATTCTGGAACACTATGTGAGGGACAAACATACAGATCCCGGTAGCAGTGTTCTGGAATCTTATGTGAGGGAGAAACACTCAGAACCCAGCAGCAGTGTTCTGGAATCCTATGTGAGGGACAATCATTCAGACCACAGCTGGAGTGTTCTGGAATCCTGCTTGTGGGACAAACATTCAAACCCTCGTAGCATTGTTCTGGAATCCCATGTGAGGAAAATACATTCAGAGCACTTCAGGAGTGTTCTGGAATCCTATGAGTGGGACAAACTTTCAGACCCTCGTAACAGTGTTCTGGGATGCTATGTGAGGGCCAAACATTTAGACCCACGTAGCAGTGTTCTGTAATCTTACCTGAGGGACGAACACTCAGAACCCAACAGCAGAGTTCTGGAAACTTAAGTGACGGACAAACATTCAGACCACAGCAGGGGTGTTCTGGAATCCTCTGTGAGGTAGAATAATTGAGACTCTCGTGACAGTGTTCTTGTATCCAATGTGAGGGATAAAAACTCAGAACTCAGTACCATTATTCTGGAATTCCATTTGAGGGAACAACACTCAGACCAGAGCAGGAATGTTTGGAATCCTATATGAGGGAGAAACATTCAGACCACAGTAGGATTGTTCTTGAATCCTTTGTGATGCACATACAGCCAAACCACAGCAGGAGTGTTCTGGAATCCTATGTGAGGTCAACCATTCAGACCACAGCAGTAGTGATCTGGAGTCCTATATGAGGGACAAACATTCAGACCACAGCAGGAATGTTCTCGAATCCTATGTGAGGAAGAAACATTCAGCCCACAGCAGCAGTGTTCTGGAATCCTATTTGAATGAAAAACATTCAGACCAGAGCAGGA
Source organism: Homo sapiens (assembly GCF_000001405.40). NCBI lineage: Eukaryota > Metazoa > Chordata > Mammalia > Primates > Hominidae > Homo > Homo sapiens. The sequence continues at coordinate 151,432 of NT_167218.1, forward strand.
GTGGTCTGGAATCCTATGTGAGGTACAATCATTCAGACACTCGTAGCAGTGTTCTGGAGACCTATGGGAGAGAGAAACATTCAGAACCAGCAGAACTTTTCTGGAGTCTTTTGTGAGGGACAATCATTCAGACCTAAAGCTAGGGTGTTCTGACATCCTATGTGTGGGACAAACATTCAGACCCTCGTAGCATTGTTCTGGAATCCTATGACAGGAAAATACATTCGGAACACAGCAGGAGTGTTCTGGAGTCCTATGTAAGGGACAAACATTCAGACTTTCGTAGAAGTGCTCTGGAATCCTATGTGAAGGGGCAAACATTTAGACCAATGTTGCAGTCTTCTGGAATCGTACGTAAGGGACAAACACTGAGAAACCAACAGCAGTGTTCTGGAATCTGAATTGAGGGACAAACATTCAGACCACAGTAGGAGTGTTCTGGAATCCTTTGTGAGGGAGAATAATTCAGACCCTCGTAGCAGTGTTGTGGAATCCTATGTGAGGGACAAACTTTCAGACCCCAGTAGCAGTGTTCTGGAATCCAATTTGAAGGAAAAACCATCAGACCATGGCAGGAATGTTTTGGAATCCTATGTGAAGGGGAAACATTCAGACCACAGTAGGATGGTTCTGGAATCCCATGTGAGGCACAAACACCCAGACCACAGCAGGAGTGTTCTGGAGTCTTATGTGATGGTCAACCATTCACATGACAGCTGGGGTGTTCTGGAACCCTATTGTGGGACAAACATTCCTACCCTCGTAGGATTGTACTGCAATGCTATGTGTGGAAAATTCATTCAGAATACAGAAGGAGTTTTCCGCAGTCCAATGTGTGGGACAAACATTCAGATCCCCGTAGCATTGTTCTGGAATCCTATGTGAAGGAAAAACATTTAGACACACGTAGCGGTGTTCTGGAATCATACGTGAGGGACAAACACTCAGAACCCAACAGCAGGGTTCTGGAATCCTAAGTGAGAGAGAAATATTCAGACCACATCAGGAGTGTTTGGAATCTTATGTGAGGGAGAATAATTCAGACCCTCATAGCAGTATTCTGTAATCCTATATGAGGGACAAACATTCAGACCCCAGTAGCAGTGTCTGGAATCCTGTTTGAGGGACAAACACTCAGACCACTGCAGGAATGTTTTTGGAATCCTATGTGAGGGAGAAACATTCAGACGACAGCAGGATTGTTCTGGATTCCTATGTGAGGGTCAACCATTCAGACCACAGCTGTAGTGTTCTGAAATCCTATATGTGGGACAAACATTCAGACCACAGCAGGATTGTTCTGGAATCCTATGTGAGGGATAAACATTCAGACTGCAGCAGCATTGTTCTGGAATCCTATATGAGGGACAAACACTCAGAACCCAAAAGCAGTGTTCTGGAATCGTATCTCAGGGACAACATTCAGACCACAGCAGGAGTGTTCTGCAATCCTATGTGAGGTACAATAATTGAGAACCTCATAGCCATGTTCTGGAATCCCATATGAGGACAAACCTTCAGAACCATTTAGCAGTTTTCTGGAATCGTAGGTGTGAGACAAACACTCAAAAACCAACTGCAGTGTTCTGGAATCCTAACTGAGGGTCAAACATTCAGACCAGAATAGGAGATTTCTGGAATCATATATGAGGGAGAAACACTCAGAACCCAGCAGCGGAGTTCTGGAATCCCATGTGAGGGACAATCATTGAGACCACAGCTGTGGTGTTCTGGTATCCTAAGTGTGGGACAAACTTTCAGACCCTCGTAGCCTTGCTCTGGAATCCTATGTGAGGAAAATACATTCAGAACACAGCAGAAGAGTTCTGGAGTCCCTTGTGGGGGACAAAAATTCAGGCCCTCGTAACAGTGCTCTGGAATTCTAAGTGAGGACAAACATTTAGACCCACATAGCAGTGTTCTTGAATTGTACGTGAGGGACAAACACTCAAAAAAAAAAAAGGAGTGTTCTGTAATCCTAAGTTGGTGAAAAACAATCAGACCACAGCAGGAGTGTTCTGGAATCCAATGTGAGGGTGAATAATTCAGACCCTCTTAGCAGTGTTCTGGAATCCTATGAGAGGGACAAATCAGACCCCAGTAGAAGTGTTGTGGAATCCTATGTGAGGGAAAAACATTCAGACCACAGCTCGGGTTTTCTGGAATCCTACTTCAGGGGCAAACATTCAGACCATCGTACCATTGTTGTGGAGTCCTAGGTGAGGAAAATGCATTCAGGAAACAGCATGAGTGTTCTGGAGTCCTATGTGCGGGACAAAAATTCAGCCCCTTGTAGCACTGTTCTGGAATCCTACGTGAGGGGGAAACATTTAGACCCAAGTGGCAGTGTTCTGGGATGCTATACGGTGGAGAAACACTTAGAACACAGTAGCAGTGTTCCAGAATACTATTTGAGGGACAAACATTCAGACCACAGCAGGAAAGTTTTGGAATCCTATGTGGGGGAGAAACATTCAGACCACAGCAGGATTGTTCTGGAATTCCATGTGAGGCAAAAACACCCAGAACGCAGGAGGGGTGTTCTGGAATCCTATGTGAGGGTCAACCATTCAGAACACAGCAGTAGTGTCCTGGAATACTATATGAGAGACAAACATTCAGTTCACAGCAGGAGTGTTCTGGAATCCTATGTGAGGAACAAAGATTCTGACCACAGCAGCAGTGTTCTGGAATCCCATCTGAGGGATAAACATTTAGATCAGAGCAGGAGTGTTCTGGAATCTTATGTGAGGAACAATCATTCAGATCCTCGTAGCAGTGCTGTGGTATCCTATGTGAGAGAGAAAAACACAGAAATCAGCAGCAGTCTTCTGGAATCCTATGTAAGGGAGAATCATTCAGGTCACAGCTTTGGTTTTCTGGAATCCTACGTGTGAGACAAACATTTAGACCCTTGTAGCATTGTTCTGGAATCCGATGTGAGTAAATACATTCAGAACACAGCAGGAGTGTTCTGGAGTCCAATGTGCGGGACAAACATTCAGACCCACGTATAAGTGCTGCGGAATCCTCTGTAAGGGACAAACATTTAGACCCACGTAGCAGTGTTCTTGAAGCATAAGTGAGGGACAAACACTCAGAACCCAACAGCAGTGTTCTGGAATCCTAAGTGAGGGACAAACATTCAGACCACAGCGGGAGTGTTCTGGAATCCTAAGTGAGGCAGAATAATTGAGACCCTCGTAGCAGTATTCTGGAACACTATGTAGGGATAAATATTCAGACCCCAATAGCAGTGTTCTGGAATCCTATATGAGGAAGAAACACTCAGAACCCAACAGCAGTGTTCTGGAATCCTATGTGAGAGACAACCATTCAGACCACAGCTGAGGTGTTCTGGAATCCCATGTGAGGGATAAACATTAAGACCCTCGTAGCATTGTTCTGGAATCTCGTGAGGAAAATACATTCAGAACACTGCAGGAGTGTTCTGGAATCCTATCAGCAGGACAAACATTCAGACCCTCGTAGCAGTGTTCTGGAATCCTATGTGAGGGCCAAACATTTAGACCCATATACCAGTGTTCTGCAATCGTACCTGAGGGACAAACACTCAGAATCCAACAGCAGAGTTCTGGAAACCTAAGTGAGGGACAAACATTCAGACCACAGCAGGGGTGTTCTGGAATCCTCTGCGAGGTAGAATAATTGAGACCCTCGTGGCAGTGTTCTTGAATCCAATGTGAGGGACAAAACTCAGAACTCAGTACCATTATTCTGGAATTCCATTTGAGGGACCAACACTCAGACCAGAGCAGGAATGTTTGGAATCCTATGTGAAGGAGAAACATTCAGACAACAGCAGGATTGTTTTCGAATCCCATGTGAGGCAAAAACACCCAAAACACAGGAGGGGTGTTCTGGAATGCTATGTGAGGGTCAACCATTCAGAACACAGCAGTAGTGTCCTGGAATACTATATGAGAGACAAACATTCAGCTCACAGTAGGAGTGTTCTGGAATCCTATGTGAGGAACAAAGATTCTGACCACAGCAGCAGTGTTCCGGAATCCTATTTAAGGAACAAACACTCAGACCACAGCAGGAATGTTTTGCAATCCTATGTGAGAGAGAAATATTCAGACCACAGCAAGATTTTTCTGGAATCCGATGTAAGATACAAACACCGTGACAAAAGCAGGAGTGTTCTGGAATCCAATTTGAGGGTCAACCATACAGACCACAGCAGTAGTGTTCTGGAATCCTATGTGAGGGACAAACATTCAGACCACAGCAGCAGGGTTCTGGAATCCTATGTGAGGGACTAACTCTCAGAACCCAGCAGCAGTGTTCTCGAATCCTACCTGAGGAACAAATATTCAGACAACAGCAGGAGTGTTCTGGAATCCTATGTGATGTACAATCATTCAGATCCTCATAGCATTGTTCTGGAATCCTATGTGAGGTAGAAACACTGAGAACCCAATAGCAGTGTTCTGGAATCCTATGTGATGGACAATCATTAGGACCACAGCTAGGGTGTTCTGGAATCCTGCCTGTGGTACAAACATTCAGAACCTCGTAGCATTTTTCTAGAAGCCTAATTGAGGACAATACATTGAGAATACTGCAAGAGTGTTCTGGAGTCCTATGTGCGGGAAAACATTCAGACCCTCGTAGCAGTGTACAGGAATCCTATGTGAAGGACAATCATTCAGACCACAGCTGGGGTGTTCTGGAATCCAACGTGTGGGAATAAAATTCAGAACCTTGTAGCATTTTTCTGGAATCCTATGTGAGGAAAATACTTCCGGAGCCCACCGGAGTGTTCTGGTGTCCTTTGTGCGGGACAAACAGTCAGACCCTTGTAGCAGTGTTCTGGAATCCTATGTGGGAGACAAATAATTAGACCCACGTAGCAGTGTTCTGGAATCCTATGTGAGGAGCAAACATTTGTACCACAGCAGGGGTGTTCTGGAATCCTATGTGAGGGACAAACATTCAGATGACAGCAGGAGTGTTCTGGAATCCTATGTGAGGAACAACATTTAGACCACAGTAGGAGTGTTCTGGAATCCTATGTGAGGAACAACATTTAGACCACAGTAGGAGTGTTCTAGAATCCTATGTGTGGGACAAACATTCAGAACCTCGTAGCAGTGTTCTGTAATCCTAGGTGAGGAATAAACATTTAGACCCATGTAGCAGTGTTCTGGAATCGTATGTGAGGGACAAACACTCAGAACCGCACAGTAGTGTTCTGGAATCCTAAGTGAGGGACAAACATTCAGTCCACAGCGGGAGTTCTCTGGAATCCTATGTGAGGGATAAACATTCAGACGACAGCAGGAGTGTTCTGCAATCCTATGTGAAGAACATATATTTAGAAAACAGCGTTAGTGTTCTGGAATCCTGTGTGCAGGACAAATATTCAGAGCCTTGTATCAGTGTTTGGAATCCTTTGTGACGGAGAAACCATTAGAGCCACGTAGCAGTGTTCTGGAACTGTAAGAGAGGGACAAACAATCAGAACCCCACAACAGTGTTCTGGAATCCTAAGTTAGGGACATTCAGTCCACAGCAGGAGTGTTCTGGAATCCTATGTGAGGGACAAACATTCAGAACCTCATAGCAGTGTGCTCGAATCCTCCGTGAAGAACAAACATTTAGACCCACATAGCAGTGTTCTGGAATCGTACGTGAGGTACATACACTCAGAACCCAACAGCAGTGTTCTGGATTCCTAAGTGAGGGACAAACATTTAGGCCACAGCAGTATTGTTCTGGAATCCTATGTGAGGGACAATCATTCAGACTACAGCAGGAGTGTTCTGAAATCCTATGTGAGGAACAAACATTTCGACAACAGCGGGAATGTTCTGGAATCCTATGTGTGGGACAAACATTCAGACCCTCGTCCCAGTGTTCTGGAATCCTATATGTGGGAGAAACATTCAGACACATGTAACAGTGTTCTGGAATCATACATGAGGGACCAACACTCAGAGCACGATAGCATTGTTCTGGAATCCTAAGTGAGGGACAAACATTCAGACCACAGGAGGAGTGTTCTGGAAACCTATGGGAGGGACAAACATTCAGACAACAGCAGGAGTGTTCTGAAATCAGATGTTAGGAACAAACATTTGGACCACAGCAGGTTTGTTCTCTAATCGTATGGGAGGGACCATCAGTCGACAGAGCGAGTGTTCTGAAATCCTATGTGAGGAAGAAACATTTAGACCAAAGCAGGAGGGTTATGGAATCCCATGTGTGGGACAAACATTCAGACCCTCATAGCAGTGTTCTGGAATATTTTGTGAGGGACAAACCTTTAGACACACGTAGCAGTGTTCTGGAATCATACGTGAGGGACGAACACTCAGAACCCAACAGTGTTCTGGAATCCTAAGTGAGGGACAAACATTCAGTACACAGCAGGAATGTTCTGGAATCCTATGTGAGGGACAAACATTCAGAAGACAGCAGGAGTGTTGTGAAATCTTATGTGAGGAACAAACACACCACAGCAGGAGTGTTCTGGAATCCCATGTGAGGGAGCAACATTCAGACCTTCGTAGCAGTGTTCTGGAATCCTATGTGAGGGACAAACATTAGAACCATGTAGCTGTGTTCTGGAAGCCTTTGTGAGGGACAAACATTCAGCACCCAACAGCAGTGTTCTGGAATCCTAAGTGAGGGACAAATATTCAGACCAAAACAGGAGTGTTCTGGAATCCTATGTGCAGGACACACATTCATACTCCATAGCAGTGTTCTAGAATCCTATCTGAGGGACAAAGATTTATACCCACGCAGCAGTGTGATATGAGCACAGCAGGAATGATATGGAATCCTATGTGAGGGACAAACATTCACACCACATCAGGAGCGTTCTGGAATCCTATGTGAGGGACAAATATTCAGATGACAGCAGGAGCGTTCTGAAATCCTAAGTGAGGAACAAGCATTTACACCACAGCAGGAGTGTTCTGAAATCCTATGTAAGGAACAAACATTTAGACCACTGCAGGAGAATTCTGGAATCCTATATGCCGGACAAACATTCAGACGACAGCAGAATGGTTCTGAAATCCTATGTAAGGAGCAAACATTTAGACCACAGGAGGAGTGATATGGAATCCTATGTTAGGGACAAACATTCAGACCCTGGTAGCAGTGTTCTTGATTCCTATGTGAGTAACACACTTTTAGACCCAAGTGGCAATGTTCTGGAATCATACGTGAGGGACAAACAATCAGGACCCAACTGCAGTGTTCTGGAATTCTGAGTGAGGGACAAACAGTCAGTGCACAGCAGGGGTGTTCTGCAATCCTCTGTGAAGGACAGACATTCAGACGACAGTAGGAATGTTCTGAAATCCTATGTGAGGTACAAACATTTATACCACAGCAGGAGTGTTCTGGAATTTTATGTGTGGGACAAACATTCAGACCCTCATAGCAGTGTTTTGGAATCCTATACGAGGGAGAATCATTTAGACCCACGTAGCTGTGTACTTGAATCTTACGTGAGGGACACACAGTCAGAACCCAACAGCAATGTCTCTTGAATCCTACGTGAGGTACAAACATTCAGATGACAGCAGGAGTATTCTGAAATCATAAGTGAGGAACAAACATTTCGACCACAGCAGGAGTGTTCAGGAATCCTATGTGAGAGACAAACACTCAGACAACAGCAGGAGTGTTCTGGAATCCTACGTGAGGTTCAGTCATTCATGCCCTCGTAGCAGTGTTCTGAAATCTTATCTGAGGGAGAAACACTCAGAACCCAGTAGCAGTGCTCTGGAATCGAATGTCAGGGACAGTCATTCAGACCACAGCTGGGGTGTCCTGGAATCCTACGCGTGGGACAAACATTCAGACACTTGTAGCATTGTTCTGGAATCCTATGTGAGGGACAAACATTCAGAACACAGCAGGAGTGTTGTTGAGTCCTACGTGTGGGACAAACATGCAGACTCTCGTAGCATGGTTCTCGAATCCTATGTGAGGGACAAATATTTAGACCCACCTAGCAGTGTTCTTGAATCGTACGTGAGGGACAAACACTCAGAACCCAAAAACTGTTTTCTGGAACCCTAAAGGAAGGAGAAACATTCAATCCACAGCAGGAGTGTAGTGGTATCCTATGTGAGGGACAAACATTCAGACGACAACAGGAATGTTCTGAAATCCTTAGTGAGGAACAAACATTTAGACCACAGCAGGAGTGTTCTGGAATCCTATGTGAGGGATAAACATTCAGACATTAACAAGAGTGTTCTGCAATCCTATGTGACGTACATTCAGACCCTCGTAGCAGTGTTCTGGAATCCTATGTGAGGGAGAAACATTCAGAACCCAGCAGCAGTGTTCTGGAATCTTATGTGAGAGACAATCATTCAGACCACAGGTGGGGTGTTCTGGATTCCTACGTGTGGGGCAAACGTCCAGACCCTCGGAGAATTGTTCTGGAATCCTATGTGAGGGACATTTAGAACAAAGCAGGAGTGTTGTGGAGTCCTATGTGAGGAAAAACTTTTAGACCCTCGTAGCAATATTCTGGAATCCTATGTGAGGGACAAACATTCAGACCCTCCTAGCAGTTTTCTGGAATCCTAGGTGAGGTACAATCATTCAGAACCTCGTAGCAGTGTTCTGGAATCCAATGTGAGGGAGAAACACTCAGAACCCACCAGCAGTGTTCTGGAATCCTATGAGAGAGACAATCTTTCAGACCAATACTGGGGTGCTCTGAAATCCTAAGTGTGGGATAAACATTCAGACACTCGTAGCATTCTTGTGGAATCTTATGTGAGGGACAAACATTCAGATGACAGCAGGAGTGTTCTAAAATTTTAGGTTAGGAACAAACATTTAGACCACAGCAGGAGTGTTCAGCAATCCTATGTGAGGGACAAACACTCAGACAATTGCAGGAGTGTTCTGGAATCCTATGTGAGGTTCAGTCATTGATACCCTCATATCAGTGTTCTGGAATCCTATCTAAGTGAGAAACACTCAGAACCCAGCGGCGGTGTTTGGGAATCGCATGTCAGGGACAGTCATTCAGACCACAGCTGGGGTGTTCTGGACCCTACGTGTGGGACAAACATTCAGACCATCGTAGCATTGTTCTGAAATCCTATGTGAGGGACAAACATTCAGAACACAGCAGGAGTGTTCTGAAGTCCTATGTGCGGGGTAAAAGTTCAGACCCTCGTAGCTGTGTCTGGAATCCTATGTGAGGGACAAACATTTAGACCCACGTGGCAGTGTTCTTGAATCGTACCTGAGGGACAAACACTCAGAACCCAACAGCAGTGTTCTGGAATCCTAAGCGAGGGACAAAAATTCAGACCACAGCAGGAGTGTTCTGGAGTCCTATGTGAGGGACTAACATTCTGAAGACAGCAGGAGTGTTCTGTAATCCTACGTGAGGAACAAGCATTTAGAACACAGCTGGAGTGTTCTGGAATCCTATGTGAGGGACATAAATTCAGACGACAGCAGGATTGTTCTGAAACTCTGTGTGAGGAACAAACATTTAGACCGCTGCAGGAGTGTTCTGGAATCCTATGTGTGGGACAAACATTCAGACCCTCGCAGCAGTATTCTGGAATCCTTTGTGAGGGACAAACATTCAGAACACAGCAGGAGTGTTCTGGAGTCCTATGTGTGGTACAAATATTTCGTCCCTCGTAGCAGCGTCTGGAATCATATGTGAAGGACAAACATTCAGACCCACGTGGCTGTGTTCTGGAATCGTACAAGAAGGACAAAGACTCAGAACACAACAGCAGTGTTCTGGAATCCTAAGTGAGGAACAAACTTTCAGACCACAGCAGGAGTGTTTTGGAATCCCATGTGAGGGACAAACCTTCTGAAGACAGCAGGGGTGTTCTGAAATCCTACCTGAGAAACAAACATTTAGATCACAGCTGGAGTGCTCTGGAATTCTATGTGAGGGACAAACATTCAGACGACAGCAAGATTGTTCCGAAATCCTTTGTGAGGAACAAACATTTAGAACACAGCAGGAGTGTTCTGGAATCCTATGTGCAAGACAAACATTCACAACTTCGTAGCAGTGTTCTGGAATCCTATCTGAGGGAAGAACATTCAGACCCACGTAACAGTGTTCTGGAATCCTACGTGAGGGACAAACACTCAAAACAGCAGTGTTCTGGAATCCTAAGAGAGGGACATACATTCAGTCCACAGCAGTAGTGTTGTGGAATCCTATGTGAGGGACAAAAATTCAGACGACAGCAGCAGTGATCTCAAATAATATGTGAGGAACAAACTTTTAGACCACAGCAGGAGTGATCTGAAACCCATGTGAGGAACAAACATTTAGACCACAGCAGGAGTGTTGTGGAATCCTATGTGCGGGACAAACATTCAGATCCTCGTAGCAGTATTCTGGAATCCTATGTGAGGCACAAACCTTTAGACCCATGTAGCAGTGTTCTGGAATCGTACATGTGGGACAAACACTGAGAACCCAAGAGCAGTGTTCTGGAATCCTAAGTGAGGGACAAACATTCACTCCACAACAAGGGTGCTCTGGAATCCTAAGTGAGTCACAAACATTCAGACGACAGTAGGAGTCCTCTGAAATCCAATGTGAGGAACAAACATTTATACCACAGCAGAAGTGTGCTGGAATGTTATGTGCGGGACAAATATTCAGAAACTCAAAGCAGTGTTCTCGAATCCTATGTGAGGGAGAATCATTTCGACCCATGTATCTGTGTTCTGGAATCCTACATGAGGGAAAAACACTCAGAACCCAACAGGAGGAGTGTTCTGGAATCCTATGTGAAGTACAAATATTCAGATGACAGCAGGAGTGTTCTGAAATCCTATGCGAGGAACAAACATTTAGACCACAGCAGTTGTGTTTGGGAATACTATATGAGGGACAAACCCTCACACAATAGCACGAGTGTTCTGGAATCCTATGTGAGGTTCAGTCATTCATACTCTCGTAGCAGTGTTCTGGAATCTTATGTGAGGGAGAAACACGCAGAACCCTGCAGCAATGTTCTGGAATCGTATGTCAGGGACAGTCATTCACACCACAGCTAAGGTGTTCTGGAATCCAACATGTGGGACAAACATTCAGACCCTCGTAGCATTGTTCTAGAATCCTATGTGAGGGAGAAACATTCAGAAAACAGCAGAAGTGTTCTGGAGTCCTATGTGCGGGACAAACTTTCAGACCCTCGTAGCAGGGTTCTGGAATCCTATGTGAGGGCCAAATATTAGACCCACATGGCAGTGTTCTGGATTCGTACGTGAGGGACATATACTCAGAACCAACAGCAGTGTCCTGGAATCCTAAGTGGGGGACAAACATTCAGACCACAGCAGGATTGTTCTGAAATCCTATGTGAGGAACAAACATTGAGACCACAGCAGGAGTGTTCTGGAATCCTATATGAGGGACAAACTTTCAGAAGACAGCAGGATTGTTCTGAAATCCTATGTGAGGAGCAAACATTTAGACTACAAAAGGAGTGTTCCAGAATCCTATGTGAGGGACAAATATTTAGACCCTCGTAGCAGTGTTCCGGAATCCTATGTGAGGGACAAATATTTAGACCCTCGTAGCAGTATTCTGGAATCCTATGTGATGGACAAACATTTAGACCCACGTAGCAGTGTTCTGGAATCATAAGTGAGGGACAAACCTTCAGACCACAGCATGAGTGTTGTGGAATCCTATGTGAGGGACAAATATTCAGACGACAGCAGAAGTGTCCTGAAGTCCTATACGAGGAACAAACCTTTGTACCACAGCCGGAGGGTTCTGGAATCCTAAGTGAAGGACAAACATTCGGAGGACAGCAGGCATGTTCTGAAATCCTATGTGAGGAGCAAACATTTAGAACACAACAGGACTGTTCTGGAATTCTATGTGCAGGACAAACATTCAGACCCTGATAACAGTGATATGGATTCCTATGTGAGGCATAAACTTTTAGACCCACGTGGAAGTTTTCTGGAACGTGAGGGGCAAACACTCAGAACCCAACAGCAGTGTTCTGGAATCCTATGTGAGGGACTAATATTCAGTCCACAGCGGGAATGTTCTAAAATCCTATGTGACGAACACACATTCAGACCACAGCAGGAGTGTTCTGGAATCCTATGTGAGAGACAAACATTCAGATCCTGGTAGCAGTGAAATGGATCCCTATGTGAAGTACAAACTTTTAGACCGACGTGAGAGTGTTCTGTAATCTTACGTGAGGGACAAACACTCAGAATCCAAAAGCAGTGTTCTGGAATCCTATGTGAGGGACAATCATTCAGACCACAGCTGGGGTGTTCTAGAATCCTACTTGTGGGACAAACATTCAGACCCTGGCAACATTGTTCTGGAATCCTATGTGAGGGACAAACATTTAGAAAACAGCAGGAGTGTTCTGGAGTCCTATGCGTGGGACAAACATTCAGACTCTTGTAGCGGTGTTCTGGAATCCTATGTGAGGGACAAACATTGAGACCCTCTTACAAGTGTTCTGGAATCCTATGTGAGGTACAATTATTCAGAACCTCGTAGCAGTGTTCTGGAATCCAATGTGAGGGAGAAACACTCAGAACCCACCAGCAGTGTTCTGGAATCCTATGTGAGGAACAATCATTCAGACCAATGCTGGGGTGTTCTGAAATCCTAAGTGTGGGACAAACATTCAGACCCTCGTAGCATTGTTCTGGAATCCTATGTGAGGGACAAACATTCAGATGACAGCAGGAGTGTTCTGAAATAGTATGTGAGGAACAAACATTTAGACCACAGCAGGAGTGTTCAGGAATCCTACATGAGGGACAAACACTCAGACAATAGCAGGAGTGTTCTGGAATCCTATGTGAGGTTTAGAAATTCATACCCTCATAGCAGTGTTCTGGAATCTTATCTGAGGGAGAAACACTCAGAACCCAGCAGCAGTGTTCTGGAAACGTATGTCAGGGACAGTCATTCAGACCACAGCTGGGGTGTTCTGGAATCCTACGTGTGGGACAAATATTCAGACCCTCGTAGCAATGTTCTGGCATCCTATGTGAGGGAAAAACCTTCAGACCCACGTAACAGTGTTCTGGAATCGTAAGTGAGGGAGAAACACTCAGAACCCAACAGCAGTCTTCTGGAATCTTAAGTGAGGGACATACATTCAGTCCACAGCAGAAGTGCTGTGGAATCCTATGTGAGGGACAAACATTCAGACGACCACAGGAGTGATCTGCAATAATATGTGAGGAACAAACATTTAGACCAGAGCACGAATGTTCTGGAATCCTAAGTGAGGGACACATATTCAGTCAACAGCAGAAGTGTTCTGGAATCTTATGTGACGGACACACATTCAGACCACAGCAGGAGTGTTCTGCAATCCTTTGTGAGGGACAAACATTTAGACCCACATAGCAGTGTTCTGGATTCGTACGTGTGGGACAAACACTCACATCCCAACAGTAGTGTTATGGAATCCTAAGTGAGAGACGAACATTCAGACCAAAGCAGGAGTCTTCTGGAATCCTATGTGAGGTACAATCATTCAGACATTCATAGCAGAGTTCTGGAATCCTATCTGAGGGAGAAACATTCAGACCAGAGCAGGAGTTTTCTGGAATCCTATGTGAGGGACAATCATTCATAACACAGCTGGGGTGTTCTGTAATCCTACGTGTTGGACAAACATTCAGACCCTCGTAGCATTGTTCTGGAATCCTACGTGAGGGACAAATATTCAGACCAGAGTAGGAGTGTTCTGGAATCCTATGTGAGGGACAATCATTCCGACCATACCTGGGGAGTTCTGGAATACTACGTGAGGTACAATCATTCAGACACTTGTAGCAGTGTTCTGGAATCCTATGTGAGGGAGAAAAACACAGAACCCAGCAGAAATATTCTGAGATCCTATGTGAGGGAGAAACATTCGGACCTCACCAGGAGTGTTCTGGAATCATATATAACAGAGAATAATTCAGAAACTCGTAGCAGGGTTCTGGAATCATATGTGATGGACAAACATTGAGAACCTCTTAGCAGTGTTCTGGAATCCTATGTGAGGGAGAAACACACAGAACCCAGCAGAAATGTTCTGGAATCCTATGTGAGGGAGAAACATTCAGACCTCAGCAGGAGAGTTCTGGAATCCTATGTAACAGAGAATAATTCAGAAACTCGTAGCAGTGTTCTGGAATCCTATATGAGGGATAAACATTTAGACCCACGTAGCAGTGTTCTAGAATCTTAAGTGAGGACAAACACTCAGAACTCAGCAGCAGTGTTCTGGAATACTATCTAAGGGAGAAACATTCAGACCAGAGTAGGAGTGTTCTGGAATCTTACGTGAGGTACAATCATTCAGACCTTTGTACCAGTGTTCTGGAATGCTATGTGAGGGAGAAACACTCAGAAACAAGTAGCAGTGTTCTGGAATCCTAAGTGAGGGACAAACATTCAGACCACAGCAGGAGTGTTCTGGAATCCTATGTGATGGAGAATAATTTAGAACCTCGTAGCAGTGTTCTGGAAACCTATGTGATGGACAAACTTTCAGACCCTCACAGCAGTGTTCTGGAATCCTATGTGAGGGACAAACCTTTAGACACATGTAGCAGTGCTCTGGAATCCTATATGAGGGTCAAACACTCAGAACACATCAGCAGTGTTCTGGAATCCTATCTGTGGAATCCTATGTGAGGGACTAACACGCAGACTCTCGTATCAGTGTTCCGGAATCTTATGTGAGGGACAAACATTCAGACCCCCGTAGTATGGTTCTGAAATCCTAAGTGAGGGACAAACATTCAGACCATAGCAGCAGTGTTCTGGTATCCTACATGAAGAATAAACATTTAGACCCACTTAGCAGTGTTCTGGAATTGTATGTTAGGGACAAACACTCAGAACCCAGCAGCAGTGTTCTGCAATCCTATCTGAGGGAGAAACTTTCGGACCAGAGCAGGAGTGTTCGGGGATCCTCTGTGAGGTATAATCATTCAGATTTTTGTAGCAGTGTTCTGGAATCCTATGTGAGGGAGAAACACTCAGAAATCAGCAGCAGTGTTCTGGAATCCTTTGTGAGGGACAAACATTCAGACAACAGCAGCAGTGTTCTGTAATACTATGTGAGGGAAAAACATTTAGACCCACGTACTAGTGTTCTGCAATTGTACGTGAGGGACAAACCCTCAGAACCCAACCGTAGTGTTCTGGAATTCTAAGTGAGGAACAAACATTCAGACCACAGAAGGAGTGTTCTGGAATCCTATGTGATGGAGAATAATTCAGAACCTCGTAGCAGTATTCTGGAATCCTATGTGATGGACAACATTCAGACCCTCGTAGCAGTTTTCTGGAATCCTGTATGAGGGACAAACATTTAGACCCACGTAGCTGTGTTCTGGAATCATAAGTGAGGGTCAAACACTCAGAACCCAGCAGCACTGTCCTGGAATTCTATCTGTGGGAGAACCATTCAGACAAGAGCAGGAATATTCTGGAATGCTATGTGAGGGACAGTCATTCAGACACAGCTGGGGTGCTCTGGAATCCTACGTGTGGGACAAACATTCAGAACCTTGTAGCATTGTTCTGGAATCCAAAGTGAGGGACAAACATTCAGACCACAGCAGGAGTGTTCTTTTATCCTACGTGAGGGACAGAGATTAATACCCTCTTAGCAGTGTTCTGTAATCCTATATGAGGTACAAACTTTCAGACAACAACAGCAGTATTCTGGAATCCTACGTGAGGGACAAACATTCAGACCACAGGAGGAGTGTTCTGGAATCCTATGTGAGGGGCATTCAGACCACAGCAGTAGTTTTCTGGAATCCTATGTGGGGGACTAACATTCGGACCATCGTAGCAGTGTTCTATAATCTTATGTGAGGGACAAACATTCAGACCCTCGTAGCAGTGTACTGGAATCGTTCGTGAGAGACAAACACTCATAACCCAACAGCAGTGTTCTGGGATCCTAAGTAAGGGACAAATATTCAGACCATAGCAAGAGTGTTCTGGAATCCTACGTGATGGAGAATAATTCAGAACCTCGTAGGAGTGTTCTCGTATCCTATGTAATGGGCAAAGTTTCAGACCCTCGTACCCGTGTTCTGGAATCCTAAGTAATGGACAAACATTTAGACCCACGTAGCAGTGTTCTGGAATCGTCGGTGAGGGACCAACTCTCAGAACCCATCAGCAGTGTTCTGGAATCCTATCTGAAGGAGAAACATTCAGACTACAGCAGGAGTGTTCTGGAATCCTATGTGAGCTACAATCATTCAGACATTCGTAGCAATGTTGTGGAATCCTATGTGAGGGAGAAACATTCAGACCACAGCAGGAGTTTTCTGGAATCCTATGAGAGGGACAATCATTCAGTCCACAGCTGGGGTGTTCTGGAATCCTACGTGTTGGACAAACATTCAGATCACAGCCGGAGTGTTCTGGAATACTATGTGAGGGACATTCAGACCACAGCAGGAGTCTTCTGGAATCCTATGTGAGGGACAACTATCAGACCACAGCAGCAGTGTTCTGGAATCCTTTCTGAGGGACAAACTTTCAGACCCTCTTAGCAGTGTTCTGGAATCCTATAAGAAGGACAAATCTTTAGACCTACGTAGCAGTGTTCTGGAATCGTACGTGAGGGACAAACACTCAGAAACCAGCAGCAATTTTCTGGAATCCGCTCTGAGGTAGAAACATTCAGACCAGAGCAGAAGTGTTCTGGAATCATATGTGAGTGCAAACACTCAGAATTCAGCAGCAGTGTTCTGGAATCCTATGTGAGAGTCAATCATTCAGACAAAATCTGGTATGATTTGGAATCCTACGTGTGGGACAAACATTCAGACCCTCCTAGCATTGTTCTGGAATCCTCAGTGAGGGACAAACTTTCAGACGACAGCAGGAGTGTTCTGGAATCCTATGTGAAGGACCAAGATACAGACCATCGTAGCAGTGTTCTGGAATCCTATCTGAGGGAGAAACATTCAGACCACAGCCGGATTGTTCTGTAATCCTATGTGAGGTAAAATCATTTAGACCCACGTAGCATTTCTCTGGAATCCTAAGTGAAGAAGACACATTCAGACCACAGGAGGAGTGTTCTGGAATCCTATGTGAGGGACAAACTTTCAGAACACAGCAGCACTGCTCTGGAATCCCATGTGAGGAACAAACATTCAGAACCTCGTAGCAGTGTTCTGGAATATTATGTGAGGGACAAACATTCAGACTCTCGTAGCAGAGTTCTGGAATCCTATGTGAAGGAGAAACATTCAGAAAAGAGAAGGAGTGTTCTGGAATCCTATCTGAGGGAGAAACATTCAGAACCTTGTAGCAGTGTTCTGGAATCCTATGTGAGGGTGAAACAGAACCCAGTAGCAGTGTTCTGGAATCTCATTTGGGGGACAATCATTCAGACCACAGATGGCGTGTTCTATAATCCCATGTGTAGCACAAGCATTCAGACCCTCGTAGCACTGTTTTGGAGTCCAAAGTGAGGTACATATATTCAGACAACAGCAGGAGAGTTCTGGAATCCTATGTGAGGGACAAAAATTTAGACCACAGCAGCAGTGTTTTGAAATCTTATGTGAGGGACCAAAATTGAGACACATGAAGCCGTGTTCTGGAATCTTATGTGAAGGACAGATATTCAGAACCCCGTAGCAGTGGTCTGGAATCCTTTGTGAGGGAGAAACACTCAGAACCCAGATGCAGTGTTCTGGAATCCTATATGAGGGACAGTCATTCAGACCACAGCTAGTGTGTTCTGGAATCCTGAGTGTGGGAGAAACATTCAGACCCTCGTAACACTGTTCAGAATCTTATGTGAGGGAAAAGCTTTCAGACCACAGCAGCAGTGTTCTGGAATCCTCTGTGAGGGACAAACATTCAGACCACAGCAGCAGAGTTCTGGAATCCTAAGACAGGGACAAATATTCAGACCACAGCAGGAGAGTTCTGAAATCCTATGTGACAGACAAACATTCATACCCAAGTAGCAGTGTTGGAATCGTTCGTGAGGGACAAACACTAAGAAACCAACAGCAGTGTTCTATAATCATAAGTGAGGGACAAACATTCAGACGACAGCAGGAGTGTTCTGGAATCCTACGTGATGGAAAATAGTTCAGAACCTCGTAGCAGTGTTCTCGAATCCTATGTAATGGACAAACTTTCAGACCCTCGTAGCAGTGTTCTGGAATCCTAAGTAATGGACAAACGTAGACCCACGTAGCAGTGTTCTGGAATCGTACTTGAGGAACAAACACTCAGAACCCAGCAGCAGTGTTCTGGAATCCTATCTGAGGGAGAAACATTCAGAACAGAGCAGGAGTGTTCTGGAATCCTATGTGAGGAAGAATCATTCAGACATTCGTAGCAGTGTTCTGGAATCCTATGTGAGGGAGAAACATTCAGACCAGAGCAGGAGTGTTCTGGAATCCTATGTAAGGAACAATCATTCAGAACACTGCTGGGTTTTTCTGGAATCCTACATGTGGGACAAACATTCAGACAACAGCAGGAGTGTTCTGGGATCCTATGTGAGGGACAAACATTCAGACCACAACAGCAATGTTCTGGAATCCTGGGTGAGGAACAAACATTCAGAATCCTGTAGCAGTGTTCTGGAATCTTATGTGAGGGACAAACATTCAGACCACAGCAGGAGGGTTCTGGAATCCTATGTGAAGGACAAACATTTAGACACACGTTGTAGTGTTGTGGAATCATATGTGAGGGACAAACACTCAGAACCCAAAAGCAGTGTTCTGGAATCTTATGTGGTGGACAAATATTTAGACTCACGTAGCAGTGTTCTGGAATCGTACATGAGGGGCAAACTCTCAGAACACAGCAGCAGTGTTCTCAAATCCTATCTGAGGGAGAAACATTCAGACCAGAGCACGAGTGTTCTGGAGTGCTACGTGTGGTACAATCATTTAGACTCTCGTAGCAGTGTTCTGGAATCCTATGTGAGGGAGAAAATTCCAGACCCCAGCAACATTGTTCTGGAATCCTATGTGAGAGAGAAACATTCAGACCACAGCAGGAATATTCTGGAATCCTATGTGAGGGACAAACATTTAGACACATGTAGCAGTGTTCTGGAATCATAAGTGAGGGACAAACATTCAGACCAAAGCAGGAGTCTTCAGGAATCCTTTGTGAGGGACAAAATTCAGAACACAGCAGCAGTGTTCTGGAATCATATCTGAGGGACAAATTTTCAGAACGTCGTAGCAGTGTTCTGGAATCCTATAAGTGAGACAAACATTTAGACCCACGTAGCAGTGTTCTGGAATCTTACGTGGGGGACAAACATTCAGACAACAGCAGCAGTGTTCTGGAATCCTAAATGAGGGACAAACATTTAGACCAAAGCAGCAGTGCTCTGGAATCCTACAGGAGGGTCAAACATTAAGACAAGAGCAGGAGTGTTCTAGAATCCTATGTGAGGGACAATCATTCAGACCACACTTGGGGTGTTCTTGAATCCTGCGTGTTGGACAAATATTCAGACCCTCGTAGCATCGCTCTGGAATCTTAATTGTGCGACAAACGTTCAAACAACAGTAGTAGTGTTCTGGAATCCTAAGTGAGGGACAAACATTCAGACCACAGCAGTAATGTTCTGGAATATTACGTGACGGACAAATATTCAGACCACAGCTGGATTTTTCTGGAATCCTATGTGATTCCATTAGACCCACGTAGAAGTGTTCTGGAATCATACGTGAGGGACAAACACTCAGAACCCAAGAGCAGTGTGCTTCAATTCTAAATGATGGACAAATATTCAGAAGACCGGAGGAGTGTTCTGGAATCCTATGTGACGAAGAATAATTCAGAACCTCGTAGCAGTGTTCTCTAATCCTATGTGATGGACAATTTTCAGACGCTCTTAGCAATATTATAGAATCCTATGTGATGGACAAACATTTAGACCCACTTAGCAGTGTTCTGGAATCGAACGTAAGGGACAAACACTCAGAACCCAGCAGCAGTGTTCTGGAATCCTAACTGAGGGATAAACATGTAGACCATAGCAGGAGTCTTCTGGAATCCTATGTGAGGAACAATCGTTCAGACCACAGCTGGGGTGTTCTGGAATCCTATGTGAGGGACAAACATTCAGACCTTCATAGCATTATTCTGGAATCCTAGGTGAGGGACAAACATTGAGACCACAGCAGGAGTGTTCTGGAATCCTAAATGAGGGACAAACATTCAGACCCTCGTAGCAGTGTTGTGGAATCTTATGTGAGGGACAAACATTCAGACCCTCATAACAGTGTTCTGGAATCCTAAGTGAGGGACAATCACTCATAACCCAGCAGCAGTGTTCTGGAATCCTATGTGAGGGACAAACACTCAGACTTTCGCAGGAGTGTTGTGGAATCATTTGTGAGGGACAAACATTCAGAACACAGCAGCAGTGTTCTGGAATCCTAGTGGAGGGACAAACATACAGACCACAGCAGGAGTGTTCTGGAATCCTATGTGAGTGACTAACATTCAGACAGCAGTAGCAGTCTTCTGGAATCCTACGTGAGGGACAAACATTCAGACGAGAGCAGGAGTGTTCTGGAATCCTATGTGAGGGACAATCATTCAGATCACAGCTGGGGTGTTCTGGAATCCTGCATGTTGGACAAACATTCAGACCCTCGTAGCATTGTTCTGGAATCCTAAGTGAGAGACAAACATTCAGACCACAGCATGAATGTTCTGGAATCCTATGTGAGTGACAAACTGTTAGACCCACGTAGCAGTGTTCGGGAATCGTATGTGAGGGACAAAAACTCAGAACCCAACAGCAGTGTTCTGGAATCTTAAGTGACGGACAAATATTCAGAGGACAGTAGGAGTGTTCTGGAATCCTATGTGACGGAGAATAATTCAGAACCTCGTAGCAGTGCTCTGGAATCCTATCTGATGAACAACTTTCAGACGCTTGTAACAATATTTTAGAATCCTATGTGATGGACAAACATTTAGACCCACTTAGCAGTGTTCTGGAAACGAACGTAAGGGACAAACACTCAGAACCCAGCAGCAGTGTACTAGAATCCTAACTGAGGGAGAAACATTAAGAATAGAGCAGGAGTGTTCTGGAATCCTATGTGATGGAGAAAAATTCAGACCCCCCAGCACTGTTCTGAAATCCTATGTGATTGAGAAACGTTCAAATCACGGGAGCACTGTTCTGGTGTCCTAAGTGAGGGACAAGCATTGAGACCACAGCAGCAGTGTTCTGGAATCCTATGTGAGGGACAAACATTCAGACCCTCGTAGGAGTGTTCTGAAATCTTATGTGAGGGACAATCATTCAGACCCTATTAGCAATGTTCTGGAATCCTATTTGAGGGAGAAACACTCAGAACCCAGCAGCAGTGTTCTGGAATACTAAGTGATGGACTAACATTCAGAACACACCAGCAGTGTTCTGCAATCCTATGTGAAGGACAAACATTTAGACCCATGTAGAAGTGTTCTGGAATCGTACGTGAAGAAAAAACACTCAGAACCCAACAGCAGTGTTCTGGAATCTCAAGTGAGAGACGAACATTCTGAACACAGCAGGAGTGTTCTGGAATCCTATGTGACAGAGAATAATTCAGAACCTCACAACCGTGTTATCGAATCCTATGTGACAGACAAACTTTCAGACCCTAGTAGCAGTGTTCTTGAATCCTATTTGAGGGACAAACACTGAGAATCCAGCAGCATGGTCCCGGAGTCCTATGGGAGGGACAAACCTTCAGACCACGGCAGCAGTGTTCTGGAATACTATGTGAAGGAGAAATGTTTAGACCCACGTAGCAGAGTTCTGGAATCGTATGTGTGGGACAAACACTCAGAACCCAGCAGCAGTGTTCTGGAATCCTACTTGAGGGTGAAACATTCAAACCAGAGCAGGAAATTCCTGTAATCCTAAGTGAGGTACAATAAATCAGACCATCGTGGCAGTGTTCTGGAATCCAATGTGAGGGAGAAGCATGCAGAACCCAGCAGCAGTCTTCTGGAATCCTATGTGAGGGACAAATATTCAGACCACATCAGCAGTGTTCTGGAACACTATGTGAGGGACAAACAAGTAGACCCACGTGCAGTGTTCTGGAATCATAAGTGAGGGAGAAACACTCAGAATCCAGCAGCAGTGTTCTGGTGTTGTATCTGAGGGAGAAACATTCAGATCAGAGCAGGAATGTTCTGGAATCCTATGTGAGGTACAAACGATCAGACACCGGTAGCAGTCTTCTGGAATCCTATATGAGGGATAAACACTCAGATCCCAGCAGCAGTGTTCTGGAATCCTATTCGAGGGAGAAACATTCAGACCAGAGCAGGAGTGTTGTGGACGCCTATGTGAGTGACAAACACTCAGAGAAAAGGAGCAGTGTTCTGGAATCCTATGTGAGTGACAAACACTCAGAGAAAAGGAGCAGTGTTCTGGAATCCTATGTGAGGGCCAATCATTCAGACCACAACTGGGTTGTTGTGGAATCCTACGTGTGGGACAAACATTCAGACCTTCATAGCATTGTTCTGGAATCCTACCTGAGGGACAAACATTCAGACCACAGCAGAAATGTTCTGGAATCCTATGTGATGGACAAATATTCAGACCACAGCAGGAGTGTTCTGGAATCCTATGTGAGTTACAAAACTGTAGACCCACGTAGCAGTGTTCTGGAATCGTAAGTGAGGAACAAACACTCAGAACCCAACAGCAGTGTGCTGGAATCCTAAGTGACGGACAAATATTCAGACAACAGGAGTGTTCTGGAATCCTATGTGACAGAGAATGATTCGGAACCTCGTACCAGTGTTCTGAAATCCTATTGTGATGGACACCTTTCAGACGCTTGTAGCAATATTCTAGAATCCTATGTGATGGACTAAAATTTAGACCCACGTAGCAGTGTTCTGGAATCGAATATAAGGGACAAATACTCAGAACGCAGCAGTGTTCTGGAATCCTAACTGAGGGAGAAACATTCAGACGAGAGCAGGAGTGTTCTGGAATCCTATAGGAGGAACATTCATACCACAGCTGGGGTTTTCTGGAATCCCACGTGCAGGGCAAACATTGAGACCACAGTAGGAGTTTTCTGGAATCCTATGTGATGGAGAATAATTCAGAACCCCGTAGCACTGTTCTGGAATCCCATGTGATGGAGAAATGTTCAAACGACAGGAGCACTGTTCCTGTATCCTAAGTGAGGGACAAGCATTCAGACCACAGCAGCAGTGTTCTGGAATCTTATGTGAGGGACAGACATTGAGACCCTCGTAGGAGTGTTCTGGAATCTTATGTGAGGGATAAACATTCAGACCCTCGTAACATTGTTCCGGAATCCTAAGTGAGGGACAAACATACAGACCACAGCAGGAGTGTTCTGTAATCCTATGTGAGGGACAAACATTCAGACCACCAAAGGCGTGTTCTGGAATCCTATGTGAGGGACAAACATTCAGACCCTCGTAGTAGTGTTCTGGAATCTTTTGTGAGGGACAAACTTTCAGACCTCCATAGCAGTGTTCTGGAATCCTATGTGAGGGACAAACCTTCACACCACAGCATCAGTGTTCTGGAATACTATGTGATGGACAAACATTCAGACCCTCGTAGCAGTGTTCTGGAATCTTATGTGAGGGACAAACATTCAGACCCTTGTAGCATTGTTCCGGAATCCTAAGTGAGGGACAAACATACAGACAACAGCAGGAGTGTTCTGCAATTCCATGTGAGGAACAAACACTCAGAACCCAACAGCAGTGTTCTGGAATCCTAAGTAAGGGACAAACATTCAGACCACAGCAGGAGTGTTCTGGAAGCCTATGTGTGGAGAATAATTCAGAACTTCGTAGCAGTGTTCTGGAATCCTATGTGATGTACAAACGTTCAGGCCACAGCAACAGTGTTCTGGAATCCTATGTGAGGGACAAACATTCAGAACCTCATAGCAGTGTTCTGGAATCCTATGTGAGGGAAAAACATTCATACTCTCATAGCAGTGTTCTGGAATCTTATGTGAGGGACAAACATTCAGACCTTTGTAGTAGAGATCTGGAATCCTATATAAGGGACACACACTCAGAACCCAACAGCAGTGTTTTGGAATCCTAAGTGAGGGACAAACATTCAGACCACAGCAGGAGTGTTCTGGAATCCTATGTGATGGACAACCTTTCAGACCCTCGTATCAGTGTTCTGGAATCCTATATGATGGACAAATACTTAGACACACGTAGCAGTGTTCTGGGATCGTATGTGAGGGACAAACACTCAGAAGCCAGCATCAGTGTTCTCGAATCCTATCTGAGGGAGAAACATTCAGACCAGTGCAGGAGTGTTTTGGAATCACATATCAGGGCAAATATTTAGACACACATAGTAGTGTTCTGGAATCGTATGTGAGAGACAAACACTCGCAACCCAACAGCAGTGTTCTGGAATCCTAAGTGAGGGACAAGCATTGAGACCACAGAAGGAGTGTTCTGAAATCCTATGTAATGGACAAAGTTTCAGACCATCGTAGCAGTGGTCTGGAATCCTATGTGTGGGACAAACATTCAGACCCTCGTAGCAGTGTTCTGGAATCCTATGTGAGGGAGAAACACTCAGAACCCAGCAGCAGTGTTCTGGAATCCTATATGAGGGTCAATCATTCATGTCACAGCTGAGGTATTCTGGAATTCTACCTGTGGGACAAACATTGAGACCTTTGTAACATTGTTCTGGAATGCTAAGTGAGGGACAAACATTCAGAACCCAGCAGGAGTGTTCTGGAATCCTATGTGAGGGACATACATTCAGACCATAGCAGCAGTGTTCTGGAATCCTATGTGTGGGACAAACATTCAGACCCTCGTAGCAGTGTTCTGGAATCCTATGTGAGGGAGAAACACTCACAACCCAGCAGCAGTGTTCTGGAATCCTGTATGAGGAAAAAGCATTCAGACTACAGCAGCATTGTTCTGGAATAGTATGTGAGGGACAAACATTTAGACCCACGTAGCAGTGTTCTGGAATCTTACGTGAGGGACAAACACTCAGAACACACCAGCAGTGTTCTGGTATCCTGAGGGACAAACAGTCAGACGACAGCAGGGCTGTTCTGGAATCATATGTGACGGGGAATAATTAAGAAACTCGTAGCAGTGTCTGAAATCCTATGTGATGGAAAAACTTTCAGACCCTCGTAACACTGTTCTGGAGTCCTATATAAGGGACAAACATTTAGACCCAAGTAGCAGTGTTCTGGAATCGTACGTGAGGGACAAACACTCAGAACCCAGTAACAGCGTTATGGAATCCTATGTGAGGGTCAATCACTCAAACCACACCTGTGGTGTTCTGAAATCCTTCGTGTGACATAAACATTCAGACACTCGTAGCATTCTTTTGGAATCCTCAGAGAGGGACAGACATTCAGACCACAGCAGGAGTGTTCTGGAATCATATGTGAGGGACAAACATTCACAGCAGAACAGTAGTGTTCTGGATTCCTATGTCAGGTACAAACATTCAGACCCTCATAGCAGTGTTCTGGAGTCCTATGTGGAGGAGAGACATTCAGACTCTCGTAGCAGTGTTCTGGAATCCTATGTGTGGGACAAACACTGCGAACCCAGCAGCAGTATTCTGGAATCCTATGTGAGGGAAATAACATTCAGAATACAGCAGGAGTGTTCTGGAATCCTATGTGTGGGAGAAATATTTAGACCCACGTAGCAGTGTTCTGGAATCGTAAGTGAGGGACAAACACTCAGAACCAAACAGGAGTGTTCTGGAATCCTATTTGAGGGACAAATATTCAGACACTCATAGCAGTGTTCTGGAATTCTATGTGATGGACAAACTTTCAGAACTTTGTAGCAGCGTTCTGGAATCCTATGTGATGGACAAGCATTTAGACACACGTAGCAGTGTTCTTGGATCCTATGTGAGGGACAAACACTCAGAAGCCAGCAGCAGTGTTCTGGAATCCTATCTGAGGGAGAAATATTCAAACCAGAGCAGTAGTGTTATGGAATCCTATATGAGGTACAATCATTCAGATTCTCGAAGCAGTGTTCTGGAATCATATGTGAGGAGAAACACTCAGAACCCAGCAGCAGTGTTCTGGAATCCTATGTGAGGGAGAGTCATTCAGATCACTGCTGGGGTGTTCTGGAATCCTACGTGTGGGACAAACATTCAGACCCTCGTAGTACTGTTATGGAATCCTAAGTGAGGAACAAACATTCAGTCCAAAGCAGTAGCGTTCTGGAATACTAAGTGAGTACAACATTCAGACAACAGCAGCAGTGTTCTGGAATCTTGTTTGAGGGACAAACTTTCAGATCCTCTTAGCAGCGTTCTCAAATCCCATATGTGGGGCAAACATTCTGTCCCACGTAGCAGTGTTCTGGAATAGTACGTGAGGGAAAAACCCTCAATCCCAGCAACAGTTTTCTGGAATCCTATATGAGGGACAAACATTCAGACCACAGCAGGAGTGTTCTGGAATCCTATGGGACGGACAAACATTTAGACCCACATAGCAGTGTTCTGGAATCTTACACGAGGGACTAAATCTCAGAACCCAACAGCAGTGATCTGGAATCCTAAGTAAGGGACAAACATTCAGAACACAGCAGGAGTGTTCTGAAATCCTATGTGACATAGAATAGTTCAGAACCTCGTAGCAGTGTTCTGGAATCCTATGTGATGAACAAAAATTCAGACCACAGCAGCAGTGTTCTGGAATCCTAAATGAGGGATGAACATTCAGACAACTGCAGAAGTGTTCTGGAATCCTATGTTAGGGACAAACATTCAGACCACAGCATCAGTGTTCTGGAATCCTATGTGAGAGACAAACATTCAGAGCCTCGTAGCAGTGTTCTGGAGTCCTATGTGAGGGACAAACATTTACACCCACCTAGCAGTGTTCTTGAAATGTACTTGAGGGACAAGCACTCAGAACCCAACAGCAGTGTTCTCAAATCCTAAACGAGGGACAAACATTCACACCACAGCAGGAGTGTTCTGGAATCTTTTGTGATGAACAAAAATTCAGACCACAGCAGCAGTGTTCTGGAATAGCATGTGAGGTACAAACATTCAGACCCTTGTAGCTGTGTTTTGGAATCTTATGTGAAGGAGATACACTCAGAATCCACCAGCAGTGTTCTGGAATCCTATGTGAGGTACAAACATTCAGATCACAGCAGGAGTGTTATGGAATCCTATGAGAGTTACAAACATTAAGACTCACGTAGCAGTGTTCTGGAATCGTAAGTGAGGGACAAACACTTAGAACCCAGCAGCAGTGTTCTGGAATCCTAAGTGAGGGACAATCATTCAAAGCACAGTAGGAGTGTTCTGGAATCCCATGAGAGGGAGAAACACATAAAATGCAGCAGCGGTATTCTGGAATCTTATGTGAGGGACAATCATTCAGACCACAGCTGGGGTGTTCTGGAATCCTACGTGTGGGACAAACATACAGACCCCCGTAGCATTGTTCCAGAATCCTAAGTGAAGGACAAACATACAGACCACAGCAGGAGTGTTCTGGAATCCTATGTGAGGGACAAACACTCTGACCACAGCAGCAGTGTCCTGGAATCGTGGGTGAGGGACAAACATTCAGACCACAGCAGGAGTGTTCTGGAATCCTATGTGAGGGATAAACATTCAGACGAAAGCAGCAGTGTTGTGGAACCCTATCTGAGGGACAAACATTCAGACCCTCGTAGCAGTGTTCTGGAACCTTATGTGATGGACAAACATTCAGACCTTCGTAGCTGTGTTCTGGAATCCTATATGAGCGACAAACACTCGAAACCCAGCAGCAGTGTTCTGGAATCCTATGTGAGGCAAAAACATTCAGACCATCGTAACAGTGTTCTGGAATCTTTTGTTCGGGAGAAACATTCAGAACCTCGTAGCAGTGTACTGGAATCCTATGTGAGGGAAAAACATTCAGAACCCGGCAGCAATGTTCTGGAATCCTATGTGAGGGACAAAGATTTATTCCTACGTAGCAGTGTTCTTGAATCGTACGTGAGGGGCAAACACTCAGAACCCAACAGCAGTGTTCTGGAATCCTAAGTGGGGGACAAAAATTCAGACCACAGCAGGAGTGTTGTAGAATCCTATACGATGGAGAATATTTCAGAACCCCTTAGAAGTGTTCTAGAATCCTATATGATGGACAAATTTTCAGACTCTCTTAGCAGTGTTCTGGAATTC